>NC_000005.10:150654928-150955245 GCF_000001405.40 Homo sapiens
CAGCCTGACCAACATGGAGAAACCCCGTCTCTACTAAAAATACAAAATTAGCCAGGTGTAGTGGCAGGCACCTGTAATCCCAGCTACTCGGGAGGCTGAGGCAGGAGAATCACTTGAACCCAGGAGGCAGAAGTTGCGGTGAGCTGAGATTGTGCCATTGCACTCCAGCCTGAGCAACAAGAGCGAAACTCCATCTTAAAAAATAATAATGGTCAATATTTTTACATTTTAATTTTGATAATAGATAATACATTCATATGGTTCAGAAATCTAAACTTATATAAAAAGTAATATATTAAAAAGCCTTATTCCCATCTCCCTGCCCCAGCCTACTCTCTTGGCTGAAGAGCCAGGTTCCCCTGCCTCAATAGTTGCTGACTGGCTTGGGTCATGAGCTCTAGGCCCCACCTCCCTGCTCAGGGTGACACTGTGGTCAGATGAGAGGACACACAGAGCCCACCCTGACTTGGCATTTGGCCCTGAGACACTAGTCTCAGCCTCTATCTAGTTCTTCCCATGTGGCCCTGGGCCCGGGACCTCCCTCCCAGCTCCTCTCCCTAAGTCATGGGGAAACCGAAGCCTCCCTCAGCTAGCCTGACTGAAAGCTTCCCGGGATGTGCCACAGACAGAGCAGCTCCCAGTGCCTCAGACTGTGTGCCCTGTTCCTGTTCTCACCCCATTTCCTAACAGGTGACCATTTTGGTTAGTTTCATGTATATCCTTCTAGTATTTTTTTTAAATTGAGACAGAGTCTCGCTGTGTTGCCCAGGCTGGAGTGCGGTGGCACGATGTCGGCTCACTGCAACCTCCGCCTCTGAGGTTCAAGCGATCCTCCTGCCTCAGCCCCCGCAGTAGCTGGGACTACAGGCACGCGCCACCGTGCCACTAATTTTTGTATTTTTAGTAGAGACAGGGTTTCTGCATGTTGGCCAGGCTGGTCTCGAACTCCTGACCTCAGGTGATCCACCCGCCTCGGCCTCCCAAAGTGCTGGGACTACAGGCGCGGGCCACCGCGCCAAGCCCTTCTGGTATTTCTTTATGGTAATCAACATCTATTGAGCACTTTCTTCCAAGGAATGTGCCGATATATGTAATGTTCTTTTCCATCAGTTATCTCATTTAACCCTCACAACAACCCTATAAGGTTAAGTACTGTTATCACACCCCATTTTACAGAAGCAGAAACTGAAGCCCAGAGGGGTGAAGTAACTTGCCCAAGCTCAGTTAGTAAGTTAAGGCGGCTCTCTCCAAAGCGAGTCTTCTTAACACGGAGGCAGACACAAGACAGCGGGGACTCTTCAGGCGTTCCGGGCTGAGAGTTTGGGCGCCTGCGTTTTATTGCAGGCACTACCTGACTTGGATCGGTGGCTTCCCTTCTCGGTGTAATGGACAAATCGGACTCCGTCCCTTCCTAAAGCCCGGTGTGGAAGACCTCAGCACTAATGCCTGCCCCACCCTCTCTGCTCTCTCCCCAGGACCGCCGGGAGAGCCTGCCCACCTCCCCACCCTGGACGCCGGGCGCGTCCCGGCCCCCCAGCAGCCTAGACGGCTGGGTGAGCCCGGGCCCGTGGGAGCCAGGTCGCGGGAGCAGCATGAGCAGCCCCCCGCCGCTGCCGCCGCCACCGCCCATGTCTCCCTCGTGGAGCGAGCGCTCGGTGTCCCCGCTGCGACCTGAGACCGAGGCGCGGCCCCCCAGCCGCCAGCTGCAGGCGCTTCTGGCGCGAAACATCATCAATGCGGCCCGGCGCAAGAGCGCCTCCCCGCGGTCGGCGGGCGCCGAGAACCCGCGGCCCTTCTCCCCGCCGAGGGCGCCACCGCCCCCGCCCCCGCCCCCGCCCCCGCCCCCGCGCATGCGCTCGCCACAGCCCGCCCGCCCCGGCTCGGCTGCTGTGCCGGGGGCAGCCTTCGCGCCCATCCCGCGGAGCCCGTTGCCCGCCGGTCCTTCGTCCTGCACCAGTCCCCGGAGCCCGCTGCCCGCGCCTCCCAGGCCCTTCCTCTACCGCCGCTCGCCCACGGACTCCGACGTGTCCCTCGACTCCGAGGACTCCGGGGCTAAGTCTCCAGGCATCCTGGGCTACAATATCTGTCCCCGCGGGTGGAATGGCAGCCTTCGGCTCAAGCGTGGCAGCCTCCCCGCCGAGGCCTCCTGCACCACCTAGAGCCCCACCCCCGACCCCACCCCGGGAGGGCAGAGCCAGAAGAAGGCTCATTAGACCTGGGGGACCCAAAGGGTCTGGCCTCTTTGGGCAGCCCCAGAGATGAGGGGTCAGCAGAGGAGAGCTCTGGGGTTGGGGATGGGTTAGGGACGCAAGCTTGAGTTCTAGCCCTTGCTCTCATTCAGCTGTTGTGTGACCCTGGGTAAGACCCTTCCTTGTTTGACCCTCAGCTTTCCCATCTGTTTAATGGTGGCTTTGGCCAAGGCAATCCACAAACGTCAAAATTCCCCTTCCCATCAGTACACACACCGATGCACACACACTCTCTCTTTCTCTCTCTCTCTCTCTCACACACACACACACACACACACACACACACACACACACACACACTAGTTAGTGCCTTGGATGAGGCGGGGCAGTGTGTATATGGACCCCTGGACTTGCTACCTTCAGGGTTCCATACTCGTCCCTCCCCTCCTGGCTCTGCTGTCTGGAGTCTGGCAAGCGGGGTGTGTTCAGAAGGTCCTAGGCCTGTGTCGCATGTCCAGGCACTGGCCTGACCATCCGGCTCCCTGGCACCAAGTCCCAGGCAGGAGCAGCTGTTTTCCATCCCTTCCCAGACAAGCTCTATTTTTATCACAATGACCTTTAGAGAGGTCTCCCAGGCCAGCTCAAGGTGTCCCACTATCCCCTCTGGAGGGAAGAGGCAGGAAAATTCTCCCCGGGTCCCTGTCATGCTACTTTCTCCATCCCAGTTCAGACTGTCCAGGACATCTTATCTGCAGCCATAAGAGAATTATAAGGCAGTGATTTCCCTTAGGCCCAGGACTTGGGCCTCCAGCTCATCTGTTCCTTCTGGGCCCATTCATGGCAGGTTCTGGGCTCAAAGCTGAACTGGGGAGAGAAGAGATACAGAGCTACCATGTGACTTTACCTGATTGCCCTCAGTTTGGGGTTGCTTATTGGGAAAGAGAGAGACAAAGAGTTACTTGTTACGGGAAATATGAAAAGCATGGCCAGGATGCATAGAGGAGATTCTAGCAGGGGACAGGATTGGCTCAGATGACCCCTGAGGGCTCTTCCAGTCTTGAAATGCATTCCATGATATTAGGAAGTCGGGGGTGGGTGGTGGTGGTGGGCTAGTTGGGCTTGAATTTAGGGGCCGATGAGCTTGGGTACGTGAGCAGGGTGTTAAGTTAGGGTCTGCCTGTATTTCTGGTCCCCTTGGAAATGTCCCCTTCTTCAGTGTCAGACCTCAGTCCCAGTGTCCATATCGTGCCCAGAAAAGTAGACATTATCCTGCCCCATCCCTTCCCCAGTGCACTCTGACCTAGCTAGTGCCTGGTGCCCAGTGACCTGGGGGAGCCTGGCTGCAGGCCCTCACTGGTTCCCTAAACCTTGGTGGCTGTGATTCAGGTCCCCAGGGGGGACTCAGGGAGGAATATGGCTGAGTTCTGTAGTTTCCAGAGTTGGCTGGTAGAGCCTTCTAGAGGTTCAGAATATTAGCTTCAGGATCAGCTGGGGGTATGGAATTGGCTGAGGATCAAACGTATGTAGGTGAAAGGATACCAGGATGTTGCTAAAGGTGAGGGACAGTTTGGGTTTGGGACTTACCGGGGTGATGTTAGATCTGGAACCCCCAAGTGAGGCTGGAGGGAGTTAAGGTCAGTATGGAAGATAGGGTTGGGACAGGGTGCTTTGGAATGAAAGAGTGACCTTAGAGGGCTCCTTGGGCCTCAGGAATGCTCCTGCTGCTGTGAAGATGAGAAGGTGCTCTTACTCAGTTAATGATGAGTGACTATATTTACCAAAGCCCCTACCTGCTGCTGGGTCCCTTGTAGCACAGGAGACTGGGGCTAAGGGCCCCTCCCAGGGAAGGGACACCATCAGGCCTCTGGCTGAGGCAGTAGCATAGAGGATCCATTTCTACCTGCATTTCCCAGAGGACTAGCAGGAGGCAGCCTTGAGAAACCGGCAGTTCCCAAGCCAGCGCCTGGCTGTTCTCTCATTGTCACTGCCCTCTCCCCAACCTCTCCTCTAACCCACTAGAGATTGCCTGTGTCCTGCCTCTTGCCTCTTGTAGAATGCAGCTCTGGCCCTCAATAAATGCTTCCTGCATTCTTCTGCCTCCTGTGTCATTTTCAGCTGTGTCTGATGTCCTTCCCTTCTCCCCAAGCATGGAGCAGTCCATGGGACTCTGGGTGGCTGGGAATATTTGAGACATATGGGATGGGAGCTTGGGAAGAAGCAGCCATGGGGAGAGATGGGAACAACGGACAACTTGAGGCCATAGAAGTACCTGGACTGCAGTCCTGGTCCTGTCATGGACGAGCGGGGTGACCCTGGGTGAGCCCACTCCTTCTCTAGGCCTCAGCTTCCCCATCCGTATAATGGGGAGAGTGGGTCTAGGTAATGTCTCAGGGTGGTATTGTCCAGGCCCTGACCACAGAGCACTATCACCAGAGTGGGCAGGGCCAAGCTGGGTCAGGGCTCTGTGCTCTGAGGCTGTTTCCTCATGGCAGGTGGGGGTGCCAGGGCAGGAAAGGCGCCACTGTAAGAGGTCCCGTCTGAGCCAGGCAGCCCCAGTGAGGCAAGGACTCGGGCCATGAGGCATCCTCTCCTGGCAGGAGTGTCCTTTGGCCAGAGAAGGGGATTGTGATCCTGCTCCCAGGTGAGGCTAAGCTTGCCCTGGGAACACACCTCACTCTTCCTCTCTAGAAGCTCAGGCCCACCGAGGGCCAGGAAGCTAAGGTCAGGGTGGTGGACAGCAGAATCTAGGCTTCTGATTTGAGAGGTGTCAGAAATACACCCCAGGATAGTCTGCCAGCACACAGACACCGGTGGTCCCCACCCTGCACCCAGCCCATCCTTGCTAGGCCCACCCTTCCCCAGGAGTGTGTGCCTTGGACCCAATCTTTATCTTCGGCTGGGGCCTCACTGCAGCACAGTGTCCCATTGCCTACTGGTGATCTCATCCCAGTCCCCCGACACCTCAAAGTTCATCCAAAACTGACCTCAGTGTCTGCCCCCACCCCTCCTGCTCCTCCCCTTCCAGTCACCCAAGCATGAAACAGGGGAGTGGGACTCCCTTTCCTCACCTTCCACATCCAGTTCCTCACCAAGACCCAAGGGTTCTTCAAATAACCCTCAACTCCCTCTCCTCTCCATCTCCTTGTCACTGCCCTGATCCAGCCACCCCTGGTGACAGTCAGGTCCTCCTGCCTCCAGTCTGGCCCCCTCCAACCCATTTCCCACATGGCAGCAAAGATATCTTTGGAAAATGCCAATCCGATCACTCCATTTCACCACTTTAATCTTGTCAGCAACCCTTTATAAACACAGTTTCCTTTTGAAAGCCTGCTGGGATCTGGCCGCTGCCCCCACTGTCTGGGCTAATCTCTCAGCACTGCCCCCAGCTCCGGCTCTACTTGCCAACCCCCTACCCATCTTTGTAGGTGACATGTCCACTGCCTGCCATGCCCCTTCTCTGCCCAGTGAACTCCCACTCATCCTTCAAGGCCCAACTCCAGTGTGTCCTCCTCTGGGAAGCCTTCTCACCCCCCACCCCAGGCTGAGCTGGTAACTCCCTCCCCTGGGCTCTCCCAGAGCCTTCCCCAAAGCTTGTTTACCCGTCTGAATCTGACCTGGCTGAGCTCCTTGAAGACAGAGCCCTGCCTTATTTATTTTCAGTCCTTAGAGAGAGGCTCAGGGAATGTGAGAAGGTAGAGGGAGGGAGGGAGGGAGGGAGGAGGGGAGAAAAGAAGGCAGGCAGGAAGGAGGCAGAAGAAGAAAGGCAGGAGAGAAGAAAGGAAGGAAGAAAAGGATAAGTCAAGCAAAGATATTGAGGAGCAATTCATTCATCCATCTATCTATCCATCCATTCCTTCCTTCGACAAATATCTGCTGAGTTCCTATCAAGCACCATTCTTGGCACTAAGGATATAACAGTTAACAAGCGGAAGCTACCAGCAGCTGACCCTCAACATTTCCAGGTGACTTTGGTGTGTGCATATGTGAGTGTGTGTGTACACGTGGGTGCAAGCCCTCTGTCTGCACAGGCCTGTTGCCAGGGCACCTGTCTTCCCTAGGGTCTGGTGCTTTTAGCCTCTGGCTCCAGCTCCTATTGCAGCCCGAAATAAGGCTGTGACCCATGGCAAGGCAGGAATGATTCTCATCAGCTGAAGCCAGAGCTGGCTGCAGGGGACACCCTGCTCGCTGCCTACTGACTGCTGACCGCTGACTGCCTACAGGGACGCCACGCAACTCTCAGCTTCCCGACAGAGGTGTTAATCTTGAGGGTCTAAGATTCCCTCCTGCCTATTGTGGTCCCATCCTCTCAGGTACCAGCATCCTAGGGGAGCTTGGGGAACTCAGGGGAGTGGGCAGAGGAGGTGAGCCAATCCCCAGAGCTCCTTCCCCCGGAGAGGAAGGGCCCTGCAGTGGATCTAGGGAGTTTGGGGCCCCATGCAAGCCTCGATCCTGGTTTGGGAGGAGAGGAACTCTAAGCTCTAGGTTACCCTGCATTAAATGGGGAGGGTGTGGCTAGGATTAAAGGTGGGGAATAGGTAATGGCTCTGCTCAGGACTTTGGGATTTTTAGGCAGTAGAGGGAAGCAGCTTCTCTGTAAAATGAGAGACCCTTCCCAGCATCTGTGAATTTCTGTAAAGGGAGTGTTTATCAAGAAACAGATCTGTGGACTGTGGAATCCTAAACGGTTGTGATCGAGGCATTCTCAATCATCCCATGACCCTCACCCCAAATGCATGTAGACACACTCATGTTTACGTATAGTTTTAGGGGGTTTGTGAACACCCTAAAGCCCATCCATGGATCTCTGTGATTTAGCCTAACCCCCTACTGTTACAGATGGGGGAACTGAGGTGCAGAGCTGGAAAGCTACTTGTTCGCAGTTACAGAGAAAGCCAGGGACACCCACTAGACTCCAGTTGCACAATGCAGTGCCCACTGACTCCCAGGGCCCCTTGTCGGTGTTGGGGATACAGATGAAGGCAGATTGTTTTCTAAAGGAAGGAGTATAGGAAAACCTGGAGGCAAAGGAGAAGGGTACCCAGGTGGGTGGTCAGTCGAGGAGCTCAAGGGCTCTGCCTCTTCTCCAGAGGGCAAGTTAAGGTACCTGGGCAAGTTAAGGGCTCTGGACCTCATTTTATTTGCAAATCTCTTCCAAGATTCTTTGAAAGTGCCATGAGATACAAATAGGGGGATGGAACAGGAGGAAGAGAAGGGACGAGGGAGAAGAGAACACCACGGAAGTTAGCCCAGTAGCGGGGAGATGGGGAGGACGGGGGATGGTTCTCTCTGCTTGGTTGGACCAGCCTGTGCCCTCAAGCGTCAGGGCCAAGTGCCAAGGATGAAAGGGGCTCACCAGCCTTGCAGACCCCAGTGTAACCCCAACCTAGTCCATCCTCCCCCTTCCCCTAACTTAAACCTCCAACTTCTTTCAGCCTTGGACTAGGACTCTCCTGGGTCAACCGATGACAGTAGTGCCTGAGACCTTTGCCTGCCCCACCCGGATGCCCCTGGCACCTACTCTCCCTCTGATCAGGATGCCAGAGCTGGGAAAAGGCCCTAGAAACCACCCCTGAAGAGACAGTGCTTCCCTAGCAACATGAAAATAGATTCGTGCAAACTTGAGCACCTCCCTCTCGTTCCCTGGGCCTCAGTCTCCTCTGCACGGAGACCCTGAAGTCCCTTCCAGCTCAGACATCCCTTGCTTGTGATTTGGGGCTGGCCTAAAGCTGTTCAGGACTGGGGCAGGGTGAACCAGAGACTGGAAGGAGGTCTGGGGAGAAATGGAGGCAGCCTGGTCCATTTATGGGGGTCTCTCCTCCACAGGATGATCCCCAAGGAGCAGAAGGGGCCAGTGATGGCTGCCATGGGGGACCTCACTGAACCAGGTAAGGTGGTTCTAGCCTCATGCCTTCCTCAGACTCCATCATTTCCTTGCTCCCAGGCTGCACTCACTCTGGCCTGCTGGCCCCAGGCCTGGGCAGACAGGTGTGAGCTCCAGGCCAGCTCTGAGGGAGTGCCTGTAGAATTTGCTGCCTAGGCTGGGAAGCTTCCCTGAGGCACTGGGAGGGGTCTTGCCCATCTGTCCACAGACCCAGGAGCTGAGGCTGAGTGTCCCAGGCTGGGCCTTGGCTCTAAAATGACCCTGGCCCTGGCTTCATCTAAGGCCTCACCTCAGCCCCAAATTAAGCTCTGAAGACTCTGGTCCCAACTCCAGCCCTACCTGTGGCTGCAAGCTCTGCACACACTTGCCTTTGCCTATTACTCCTGTGGGTCTCACCGAGGCCTCTGGGTGGCCCAGGATGGCTGGGCCCCATGGCTAAGAGAGGGGAGTGGAGAGAGTGGAGTAGGGTGGGAAGACAGGGGAGTCGAGAGAGTGGAGCAGGGTGGGAAGAGCAGGCTGCCCATTTGAATACAAAACTTTCTACTTAAAGCTGATTCATCAAATGAGTAAATCATTTTTATCATTTCATTAAAAAAGTTTAAATTCATTTTTATCAATTTTAGAAGACCTCTTGAGGAACTCTTGATACAATTTTGGAATCTGTTTATTTGGTCTACTTTAGAGGATTTCAGGTATTTTAAAAATTAATTTAGGGGCTGGACACAGAGGCTGATGCCTTTAATCCCAGCACTTTGGGAGGCTGAGGTGGAAGAATTGCTTGAGCCCAGGAGTTTGAGACCAGCCGGGGCAACATGGTGAGACTCCATCTCTACAAAAAAAAAAAATTAGCCAGGCATGGTGGCACATGCCTGTGGTCCCAGCTACTCAGGAGGCTGAGGCAAGAGGATCGTTTGAGCCTAGGAGTTGGAGGCTATAGTGAGCTACGGTTGTGCCACTGCACTCCAGCCTGGGTGACAGAGGGAGACTCTGTCTCTAAAAAAAAAAAAAAAGAAAAAGAAAAAAATTAATTCAACTAAGTCAGAGTTCTCAAGCTTTATTGTGAATCATAATGATTTGATGTTGGTTAAGCATACAGAGTCCCAGCATCTACTCCTGAGGATTCTGACTCAGGGGACCTAAGTTAGGACTTGTGCATTTGCCTTCAGCGTGCTAAGGAGTCAGTCATATTTCATGACTTCATATGTGGCATCCTTTTAACCTATTTTGTGTGCTCTTGCCTCCTTTTGTTGATGTCCAGTTTCTTCCCCTACCCTGATTTTGTAGCTGAAATATGCACATTCTATGGGTACTGACGCTCTAACTAGAAGGGTCAGGCAATGCATTCTCTTTTCTCTTGGGGAGTTCATTACAGACCCCCAAATATGGAGACACATCATTGATACAAGACTTGAAATATATAACTTGTTGATTATTGCTAAGGTACTGACTAAAGACAATTTTGAAACAAAAGTAGGAAGAAAAAATAAATCTCATAATCTCACTACCTAAAGACGGCCACTGTAAAGTAAAAGTTATAAAAATGTTTACCATCATTGCATGCTTACTATGTGGCAGATACTTTGCTAAGAGAAAAGTATCCTTTATGCTTTGTGTCATTTCATCCCCACCACAACTCCCTAAGTTAGATATTCTCCTCATTTTGGAAATGAGAATATTGAGGCTCAGAGGAGCAGGTGATCACATCTGGTAGGTGGTAGAGCTGCAATTTGACTCCAGGTCTCTTTGTCTTCAGAGCTGTTTCTTTATTACATGGTTACAATGATAATACATCACTTTTTAAAAAAAAAATTCACTTGCCATTGACTTGGCATACATTAAAAAAATTTGTTTAATTCAGACAAAACAGACATGAACGGCTTTGAAAGTTCATCATAATGGAACCATCTGGAGATAACCACTGTTAACATATTTATGTAAATTCTTGTTCTGTTCATATATGAATGTCTTTATATAAACATACATACACATGGGCTAAATACTATATGCTATGTTCTTTGGCTTTTTTTTTTTTTCATTTAGCAGCATTCCATCCTAGTATGATTTATCTCACGCCTTCCTTCCCCGTGCTTACCAGCTTTCTGCTGTTTGGACACGTCATGTGTGTTTAACCATCCCCTGATGAGGGTTGTCTGGGGTGAGATCCTTCGGGGCAGAACAGAGGAGCCTTGTGCAAGTGACTTATTGAGAACGTGCTCTCGGAAGGGAAGGAGGAATGCAGCCTAGGGTGGGGTACTGCTGAGCGAGGATGTGGGCTCAGCGGCTGTCCAGTTCAGTGTGACCCCGCGGGGAGCTCTCGAGCATGAATTGCTCCACAGAATTCATCCCACCTGAGGCAAGGGCGCTGTGGAGCATCCATTCCACTGGCAGTTCTCTGTAGAAGGTGGTGGTGTGAACTCTTAGCCACTAATAAGGGGCATCTGGCAGCATCCACCACGAGACTGAGTCCCAGTTTTCACAATTTTAAACCCCACTGCAATAAACATTCTTATACATGTATCTTTGGACATATTTATTCAACTTTTTCCCCGAGAATAAATTCCTAGAAATAGAAATACTCAGTCAAATAGATTTTATCTTTTTTTATTTTTTAATAGAGACAGGGTCTTGCTATATTGCCCAGGCTGGTCTTGAACTCCTGGGCCCAAGCAATCCACCCACTTTGCCCTCTGCAAGTGCTGGGATTATAGTTGTGAGCCACTGTGCCTGCCATTTTTTTTTTTTAAATATTGAGCTCAGCTGGGGGAGGTGGCTCACGCCTGTAATCCCAGCACTTTGGGAGACTGAGGCAAGCGGATGACCTGAGGTTGGGAGCTCGAGACCAGCCTGACCAACATGGAGAAACCCCATCTCTACTATAAATACAAAATTAGCCAGGCGTGATGGTGCATGCCTGCAATTCCAGCTACTCGGGAGGCTGAGGCAGGAGAATCGCTTGAACCCGGGAGGCAGAGGTTGCAGTGAGCCGAGATCATGCCATTGCACTCCAGCCTGGGCAACAAGAGTGAAACTCGTCTAAAAAAAAAAAAAAAAAAAGAACAATATTGAGCTCAGCTCATCTGTATAGTATTTCAGAATATGATACTGAGGGTGCTTTATTATGTATTTAGGTATAACTATTCTTTTATATTTTTAAGTAGGCAGTACACTTTCTTGTTAAAAACAGTTACAACAAAACAGTGTAAACAATTTCCAACCCTCCTCCTTTATATGTCCCATGGTCACTGCTGTGGTGACATGTCTCCTTGGCATGTCTCCTTGCAGATTTTTCAATGCATGCAAAAACACATACTTATTTTTTAATATAGAAATGGGGGCCGGGCGCGGTGGCTCACACCTGTAATCCCAACACTTTGGGAGGCTGAGGCGGGCAGATCACTTGTGGTCAGGAGTTTGGGACCAGCCTGGCCAACATGGTGAAACCCCATCTCTGCTAAAAATACAAAAATTAGCCGTGCGTGGTGGCTCATGCCCATAGTCCCAGTTACTTGCGAGACTGAGGCAGGAGAATCACTAGAACCCAGGAGGCAGAGGTTGCAGTGAGCCGAGATTGCACCACTGCACTCTAGCCTGGGCAACAGAGCAAGACTCTGTCTCAAAAAAAAAAAAAAAAAATATATATATATATATATACACACACATATATATAAAATATAGTTATATAATATATAATATAAATGGGATCTTAGAATACCTATTCTTCTGAATCTTACTTTCCCCTCCAATTAATTTATACTGGATTTCTTTTTTTCTTTTTTTTTTGAGACAGCATCTCACTCTTTTGCCCAGACTGGAGCACAGTGACATGATCTCAGCTCATTGCAAACTTCACCTCCACCTTCAAGTGATTCTTGTGCCTCAGCCTCCCAAGTAGCTGAATTACAGGCACACGCCACCATGCCTGGCTAATTTTTGTATTCTTAGTAGAGAAGGGGTTTTGCCATGTTGGCCAGGTTGGTCTTGAACTCCTGACCTCAAGTGATCCACCCTCCTCTGCCTCCCAAAGTGCTGGGATTATGGGTGTGAGCCACTGCGCCCGGCCTATAAGTGGATTTCTTTCTGTTCTTAGCACATAAAAAGTGTCCTTTATGTGTCCGTTGAAAGAATAAAAAAAAATCAGTGTCCTTTTTAGACAGCTATTTAGGATTCCATTGACTGGCATGAATCACAGCACCCAAGTGACCCCCAGTACTGCCTGGTAGCCATGTCCATCTCCCTAGTTCATTCACTATCTCATGCTACTCTCTTAATGACTTTGGCAACCCCTCTTCTCAAACCTCCAATACCTCCTTGCACAACCTCATTCTCAGCTAAAGACCTTGCTTCTTATTCCACTGAGAAAAATAGAGTAACCAGAAGAGAACATCTGCAAGCATCCTCCGCCACATCTGTCTACTTGCTTGCATCTGCACCCGTGTTTGTGGTTTTCCTTTCTGATATGGTGGATGGACTCTCCTCATACCTGCCTGGTGCCAATTCCTCTGGCTGGGCTCTGGAAACCCAGCTCTCCTGTCACTCCTGCTCAAGGACATTCCTTCAGCAATTCTCCCCTCTCTCTATTGCATTGTCAAATGTTCCCGTCAGTTAACGCACATGCTGTTATTTCTCCATTTTTACAAACAAACAAACAAACCCCTCTTGATCCCATAGCTGTCTGTAGCCAGGATCCTTTAAAGCCCAACTCTTCCAAGCAGTTGTCTATATTGTTCTTACCAATCCTCTCTTTCTCTCTTTTTGACATTTTATTAGTCAATTTCCAAAGACACATACAAGTAGGGAGTACATGGTCCCTCCTTCATTCCTAAATTTCAAAGCTAATACCAAAAAGCATGTCATTTCACCCCGCAAATTCTTCAGAATGCATCAAAATAATAAAAGGGCATTTCCTTACATGCCACAAAGATATTAGCATACTGAACAAAATTTGCAGTAATGATTTGATACCATTTAATAAGCGGTCTGTATTCAACCTTCTTCAGTTTTCTAGTTTGTTTTCATCAGCATCCAAACAAGGGCCACAGTTTTTATTTGGTTGCTATGGCTCCTAAATCTCCTTTAATCTAAAGCAACCCCTCTGCCCCTTTTTTCCATGTCACTCACTTGTTTGAAAAACCAGGCCAGTTGTCCTGTAGAATGTCCTGCGTCCTGGATTTGGCTTATCGCTTCCTCATGGTGTGGTTAAACTTGTTCTTCTGTCCATTTTCTCTTGAACCCTCTCCAGTTAGGCTTTCACACCCAAACACTCCATAGAAACTGCTTTAGTGAAAATTACCAATGACCTTGTATTGCTAAATATAATAGTGGATTTTCAGCCCTCATCTTCCTTGACACATCAGCAGCACTTGGCTCTGTTAGTCTCTCTATCATACCTGAAATGCTTTCATCATTTATTTCCAGGATGCCATCCTCTTTAGTTTCTTCCTATGTTGTGGGCTGCTCCTGCCCAGGCTCCTGGCTTGGTTCCTCCTCACCGCCTCACTGTAAATGTTGGAGGCCCCAGGCTCCGTCTCTGATCCTCTTTACCTATTCTCATTTCTTTATGATCTCATCCAGCCTCCCAGCTTAAAATACCATTTATGGAGCTGGAATATGAACGTATGTGTATCTGATTTTAGAGATGGACTAGGCAGGCCGTGCTGCCCACACAGGGCTCTCACCTGCCAAGGTCCTCACCATTCTGTCCCCTCTGTCCTGCAAAAGGCTTCCTTTGTTGGCCAAACGTGAAAGTTTGAATTTGGCTGGTAGGAAACGCACAAAGGATAGGGATGGGTCTCAAACTACTAAGAACAGCCATCACCCTGAAAATCCTCTAAATAGCTGTAAAGACTAGTTCCAACTATGAGAAAAGAAATAAATGTAACGTTCTTCATTGAAAAACAACAACAAATACCAGTAAATACCAGTAAAAGCTCATGATGCCCAACATTTCACCTCCAGGTCAGTTTTCTCCAGATTCACACATCTATCTCCCTCCTCAGCACCACTACTTAGATGCCTACAAGTCTCCTCAAACTTAGTGTGCCCAGTTTTGGAGACAATTAGCAGAGTTTGGATATGGACTAGATATTAGGTAAAACAAAAATTTGTTCACTTGGAAATGTGGAGATCTTTAACTTGTAAAGATCTTGATAAAACAAGTTACAGGCCGGGAGCGGTGGCTCACGCCTGTAATCCCAGCACTCTGGGAGCCCGAGGGGGGGTGGGGGGCGGATCACAAGGTCAGGAGTTTGAGACCAGCCTGGCCAACATGTTGAAACCCCATCTCTACTAAAAATACAAAAATTAGCTGGGCGTGGTGGTGCGCACCTGTAATCCAGCTACTCACGAGCCTAAGGCAGGAGAATTGCTTGAACCCGGGAGGCGGAGGTTGCAGCGAGCCGAGATTGTGCCATTGCACTCCAGCCTGGGTGACATCTCAAAAAAAAAAAAATTACAAAACATGTATGCTATAATTTTATTTTGGTTAAAACCTCATAGGAATATAGTCATTGAAAAAGATATGAAAGGACATACACTAAGGTGTTAATAGTGGCAGTCTCTGGGTGATAGATAATGGTATTTTTCTCTTTTTTGTCTGATATCTGTATTGTCCAACTTTCCTCAGGGCCCATATATGCTTTTTTTTTTTTTTTTTTTTTTTTTTTTTTTTGATGGAAAATCACTCTGTCACCCAGGCTGGAGTGCAGCAATGCAATCTCGGCTTACTGCAACCTCCACCTCCTGGGTTCAAGTGATTCTCCTGCCTCAGCCTCCAGAGTGGCTGGGATTACAGGCATGCGCCACCTACGCCCAGCTAATTTTTCTACTTTTAGTAGAGATGGGTTTTTGCCATGTTGGTCAGGCTGGTCTCGAACCCTTGACCTCAGGTGATGCGCCTGCTTTGGCTTCCCAAAGTGCTGGGATTACAGGCGTGAGCCACCGCGCCTGGCCCATATATGCTTTTTTATAATAATAAAAGGCTATTTTAAAGTTAAAAGAACACAGGTCTAAAACTGAACTCCTGATCTTTCCCAGAACCTTCTCCTCCCTTTGCCTTCCCCATCTCCGTGAATGGCTGCTCTATCCTTCCAGTGGCTAAGGCCAGAAACCTTGCAGTCATCCTCTCTCACTCATTGCCCATACCCATGGCTTACCTTTAAAAAATATCGAGAATCTGACCATTTCTCACTACCTCCACCATTATGGGCAAAGACCTGCATGGGGAATTCATGCAATAAACACAAATGGCCAAAGAACTTCGGAAACAGTGCTAAACTTCACTGAGCAACAAACACATGCAAATTAAACTCTGAGGTGTCATTTTTGCCCATCAGGTGGGCAAAGATTTCAAACAATCATGACACCCGGTGTCGGCAAGCTTGGTGAGAAACAGGCATTCTTACACACAGCATGCCATGCTTCGAGAGGTGGGGCCTGGAGTGTATGGGGGATGGGGTGGTGAGAGCCCGCTCTGGCCTTTCCTGGCAGTCCCTACGCTGGACCTGGGCAAGAAGCTGAGCGTGCCCCAGGACCTGATGATGGAGGAGCTGTCACTACGCAACAACAGAGGGTCCCTCCTCTTCCAGAAGAGGCAGCGCCGTGTGCAGAAGTTCACTTTCGAGTTAGCAGCCAGCCAGCGGGCGGTGAGTAAGCCACCATTGTGCTCATGGGGAAAATGAGGACCACAGAGAGCCACTGGTTAGCCTAAAGTCAAACGGTAAGCCAGGCTGAGGACTGTGATGTTCCCATCAGATTAGGCTCCTGCCTTTCAGTGTGATCCTTGAAAAGTGTTATCTTTTTAGGCATCTCTCCCTGGATACAGAACAAAGTAAACAAAGTGGATTAGGGGGTTGAGGATAAGCCGTGGAGTGAAGGGACTCTGGCTCCTACCAAAAAAAAAAAAAAAAAAAAAAAGCTAAGACAGGCATGCACTCTAGGCTAAATTTGCAGCAGGCTGGATCTAGTTTAGACTTGGGCCTGATCTAAGATGGAAAATGTAGAATGCCCTTTTTTCTTCTTCCCACCGGAGAAAGGAAAGGCCATGGAATAATCTGCTGGTGGAGAAGAAAGGCAAGAAGGGTTTTTCCCTTGGCTTCAGAAAGGCAGCAGGCAGTTCCAGATACTTCTAAGGAAGCCAGGGCTATTCCATCCACCCTCCACTTAATTTCTGGGCTAGACAGGAGGCAACTGAGAGGGAGTGATGTGGCAGAAAAATAAAGATGGCAAAACACCCGCCTTTGCTATGTGCCTAAGACAATGCTAGCTAAGCACTTTGCAGGTATCTCATTTAATGCTCATAGACCCCTCTGAGGAAGAGATCTTCATCACCATCATCCTCATTCTATCGAGAAGGACATTGAGGCTCAGGGAAATTAAGTATCTTGCCCGGACTCGGCATTACAATAGCAATTAACATATATCGAGTATTTCTCGGTCCCAGGCACTGGGTTTAGCGTTGTAAACTAGTAACTCATCCTTGTTCCCCGATGATGGGCGTTAGGATTCTTGCCTCCCCCCGACCTTTTTTTTTGGTGGAGGGAGAACCCTGGTCCCCTGCCCCGCTGAGCTTCTCTGCGGTTTATTCTACCCCCTCGTTCCCAGATGCTGGCCGGAAGCGCCAGGAGGAAGGTGACTGGAACAGCGGAGTCGGGGACGGTGAGCGTGGAGGGGAGCTCCCTGGAAGGGAAGCTGGGGGAAGGGGAGCGCGGCTGGGGGCGGGAGGTCGTCGGTGGCCTCTGAGAACCCGCCCCTGTGCCCAGGTTGCCAATGCCAATGGCCCTGAGGGGCCGAACTACCGCTCGGAGCTCCACATCTTCCCGGCCTCACCCGGGGCCTCACTCGGGGGTCCCGAGGGCGCCCACCCTGCAGCCGCCCCTGCTGGGTGCGTCCCCAGCCCCAGCGCCCTGGCGCCAGGTGAGTGGCCTCCTCGGGTCCCGGGACCAGGGCTGGGGGGCCTGAAGCATGGGTGTGCTCCCCATGGGGCAGGAAGAGCACCCAGAAGGCTAGTCCGCCCCCTTCCCCAACACACACGCGCACGCGCGCACTCCCCTCGCCAGACCACGAGCCGGAGGGGCGCCGCGCCCCAGGTCACACAGCGAGTCAGCCAAGGCCAAGACCAACCCGCGCTGCGAACTCGTGGCTTCCTCACTGCAGTCCTCCGTGTTTCCTGGGATGGGGAGGGGTCTCCTGTGCTGGAGCAACTGTGGCTTCCCATTCCCGCCGTCCTCTCCCCTAACTCCGATCTTCCCTCCTCCAACCGCGTCCGCGGAATGGGGGTGGGGCGAGGTGGGGTTGGGGGCTGAGGGTGGAAGAACGGAGGCGCTCCCTTCCCCCCGCGCCCCTAGGCTATGCGGAGCCGCTGAAGGGCGTCCCGCCAGAGAAGTTCAACCACACCGCCATCTCCAAGGGCTACCGCTGCCCTTGGCAGGAGTTCGTCAGCTACCGGGACTACCAGAGCGATGGCCGAAGTCACACCCCCAGCCCCAACGACTACCGAAATTTCAACAAGTAAGGCGGGGCGGGCAGCCCGGGGGACAGACCGGGAGGGGCGGGAAGCCAGTCACAGCCACAGCGGGAGCCTGCGTTTCCTGAGCACTTTCTGCAGGCCAGGCTCTGTCCCCAGCGCTTTCTATTCATTGACTGAGCTCTGGCTGGAACAGCGCCTCCGCACCTGGTAGGTGCTCAGTTAACGTGGGAGAAATGAAGAGTGAAGGTGCCGCACATCTTGGATATTCTCCAGGACATGGTGGGCGGGTGCTATGAGTTTTCCTGTTCTGCAGATGAAGAGGCTGCGGCTCAGGAATATGAACAACCCGGCCAAAGCCACAAAACAAGGAAGCACCGGCAGGGCCGGGATTCAGGTCTGGGTTTGTCTGACTCCAGAGCCCAGTGCCTTGTTCTCCATGGCTGCTGTGTGCTACCTCTTTGATGAACATCTAGATTTGTGTCCTTCTCTGAGGGGTCCCCAGATTTCAGCAGTTCGAGGCCAGCTCAGCTTTTCCTTTCACCAATGGCCTAGAAGAGGCCAACAAGGTAGCTTTGAGGCTGCCCCAAAGTGGAGAGTGGCAGTGAAACATTGGACGCCAGAGTGAGGGCCACAGCGCAGTGGCCTATATGGGTTTAGAGCGTGAGGCCTCCACGTGGACTTGAATGCAGACCCCAGGCCTGCCCGTGTTGACCTTGGGCAAGTGACTTAACCTCTCTGAGCCTCCATTGCCCCACCTGTAAAATGAGGGGTTTATAGTACCTGCTTCATAAAGTTGCTATGGAGATGACACGAGAAGCCATAGGTAAAGTTTCTGGCAAGTAAGACACTTGCAACAAACAATAGCTATTATTGTTGTTGTTGTTATTATTATTATTTGAGACGGAGTCTCACACTGTCACCCGGGCTGGAGTGCAATGGCGCAATCTCAGCTCACTGCAACCTCTTCCTCCTGGGTTCAAGCGATTCTCCTGCCTTAGCCTCCCTAGTAGCTGGGATTACAGGCGCCCACCACCGTGCCCGGCTAATTTTTTGTATTTTTAGTAGAGACAGGGTTTCACTATGTTGGCCGGGCTGGTCTCGAACTCCTGAACTCGTGATCCACCCGCCTTTGCCTCCCAAAGTGCTGGGATTACAGGCATGAGCCACCGCCCCCGGCGTATTATGATTATTATTTACAGCTGAGATGAAGTTTGGACAGGGGAGAGCTTGAAAGGGATACATTTACCATTCTGCACTGAGGGCCTGAAAACAAACCATAGGAATCAAGACAGGAGCTTGGCACTGGGGGAAGGCCTTGGGCTGAGGAGTGCATGTTAACTGCATTGGCTTCCTTGGTCTGGTGCTATTTTTGAATATGCTCCTCTGGTTTGGGCTGCATTTAGTGAGGAAAAGGGGAGTCCACAGAGAGGACGCCACGGTCCTGCTCTTCTGGCATTTGCTCAGACCACACGTGGAGACTGGGTCTGTCTAAGACAGACGGGTGGGCGCCAGAGCCTAGCTAGGCCTGGAAAATCAGCACATATGAGGAAGGGCTGAAGGAACTGGGGGTGATCTGCCTTGAGAAGAGACAGCTCCAGAGGGATGTGACTGCCCTCAAATATCTGAATAGGCAGAGACTTCCTGATGGGAAGAATTGGGCTTAGCATGCGCTGTGTGAGTCACGAGCCATTAACAGACATTCTGGAGTTCCCTGGCAGGCAGGACTGCCCTATCTCCTCCTGGGCCCTCAGACCCTGCCTGCCCAGTCATTTGAAACCTGCAGCAGACATTCAGTCCTGGCAGGCAGCTTCCAGGCTGGGCCACTCAGGTTGCATCTCCCACTGATCTCATGCCTCATGTATGACAGCAAGGCACATTCCCACCAGCAGAAAGAGGCTCTTAGGGAGCCCTGCATCCAGACCTCTTCTGAGGGAGAAAGACCAACTGAGGCATAGAGAAGAGAAACAGCAGTTTGGGTGGCCAAGATGTGCTCAGCTTCCAGGGTCCTGGGCTCCCAGTCAAGGGCCTGACTGTGGGCCTTGCATGGCTTGGACACCACCCAGCCTGTTCCTGTGAGGCCTGGCTGTTGCCACCAAAACTGGGGTGGTCCAGGCAGAAATGCTTTCCTGGCTGGGACTCAGGCCCTGGCTCAAGGTTTGTCTTTCCACCCCAGAGGCAAGCACTCTCCTCTTCCCACTGGTCCCAGGCTGCTGGAAAAACAACACAAGCAATGATTTTTATTTTTCTTAAAATTAAGAAACAGTATTAAGGCCGGGCGCAGTGGCTCATGCCTGTAATCCCACTTTGGGAGGCCGAGGGAGGCGGATCACTTGAGGTCAGAAGTTCAAGACCAGCCTGGCCAACATGATGAAATCTCATTTCTACTAAAAATACAAAAATTAGCTGGGCTTCTTGGCACACACTTGTAATCCCAGCTACTCAGGAGGCTGAGGTGGGAGAATCGCTTGAACCTGGGAGGCGGAGGTTGCAGTGTGCCGAGATCCTTCTACTACACTCTAGCCTGAGTGACAGAGCAAGACCCTGTCTCAAAACAAAACAAAACAAAACAACAAAAAAAAGTATTATTAAAATCACATACATAGGTTCTCTTTTAAAAAATGTTAGGCAAATAAATGTAGAGCCCCTTTGCTCACCATCCTCCAATCCCAGTTGCCTTCCCAAAGGTAACATGGTTGTCAGGCTGGCCTGAATGGGCTCAGAACATTTTGTGTGGGCAGCTGCATGCCTGTAGGGGGAATGGCGTTTGTGTGTGTGTGGGGGTGTGTGTGTTAATACTTTGCACTTCATTCTGTTAACTTGCTTTTTTTACTCAACATTACGCTTTCGAAATCTACCATACTAATACGTAGAGCTCTAGTTCCTTTTAAGCTGCTGTATAGTTTTCTTTTTCTTTTTTTTTCGCGGGGTGGAGCAGAGTTTTGCTTTTGTGGCCCAGGCTGCAGTGCAATGACACAATCTCAGCTCACTGCAACCTCTGCCTCTCAGGTTCAAGCAATTCTTCTGCCTCAGCCTCCCAGGTAGCTGGAATTACAGTCACCCACCACCATGCCCATCTAATTTTTGTGTTTTTACTAGCGACGGGGTTTCACCATGTGGGCCAGGCTGGTCTCGAACTCCTGACCTCAGGTGATCGGCCCTCCTCGGCCTCCCAAAGTGTTGGGATTATAGCCGTGAGCCACCGTGCCCAGCCTGCTGTATAGCTTTCTATCGTGTGAGCATGCTCTATCTGTCTTGCCCATTTCTCTGCTAGTGGACACGTGGGTTGTTTCTGGTTTGTCACTAATGTGCTGCTCAGGTCTGCATCCCAGTGCCTACGCGCCTGTGCTTTCCTAAGCCATATGCTCAGAGGTGAAGATGCGGGGTGACATAGTTCACACATTTCAGGTTAGAAAGATCCTGCCAAATTGTCTTCTGCGGTAGCAGCACTGGCTTACCCTCTAACCAGCAGCATGTGTGAAACTTTTCCCCCGCCATCTCACCAACTTTGCCCAGTTACCACATTATTTCATCGTGCCAGTGTCCTGGAGGAGAAATGGCATATCTGTTGTAATCTGCATTTCCCCCCTGATTTTCAGTGCTCTTTCTAATGCTCTCTTCTCTCTCTAGTTTTGGGCCTTTTGTCCTAAGGGGAGCTTACTGAAGGGGAGTCTAGAGTCTTGCCTAGGACAAGTCAATTCTGACTCCATCGGCTTCACTTCTATTGCTAAGCAACGAACCACCCAAGTAGGCGCAGACTTGGAAATGGGCAAAGTTGAAAAAAACCTCTTAAGATGTACAGAATTGCTGGGTGCGGTGGCTCACGCCTGTAATCCCAGCACTTTGGGAGGCCGAGATGGGCGGATCATGAGGTCAGGAGTTTGAGACTAGCCTGGCCAACATGGTGAAACCCCGTCTCTACTAAAAATACAAAAATTAGCCGGGCATGGTGGCACGTGCCTGTAATCCCAGCTACTCAGGAGGCTGAGGCAGGAGAATTGATTGAATCTGGGAGGCGGAGGTTGCAGTGAGCTGAGATCACCCCACTGCGCTCCAACCTGGGTGACAGAGCGAGACTCTGTCTCAAAAAAAAAAAAAAAAAAAAGATGTACAGAATCTTGCTGTATAGAAGGGAAAACTGAGGCTCAGAGAGCGGCAGGGAGGGGCCCATACATGGTGATCCACATGTCAGTGTACTGCTGTCCCTGTTCCACACAGCCCACCTCTCCTGCTGCTCTCTTTCTCCAGGACCCCGGTGCCATTTGGAGGACCCCTCGTGGGGGGCACTTTTCCCAGGCCAGGCACCCCCTTCATCCCGGAGCCCCTCAGTGGCTTGGAACTCCTCCGTCTCAGACCCAGCTTCAACAGAGTGGCCCAGGGCTGGGTCCGTAACCTCCCAGAGTCCGAGGAGCTGTAGCCCTAGCCTGAATCTTCAGTTCCCCAGTCTCGGGGGCCTGGTAACATCCGGAGCCAAGACTTGTGGACAGCACTTCACAGTTGAAGAAGGGCCTTCACACACAAAACCTGATTGCAAATGGCTTCAGAGGTCACCAAGTTCAGTCGTCCCAAAACATGGGTGTGTTTCAAAATTACCTGGGGATGTTGTTCCAAATCCAGACAACTGGACTGTCCCAGACTTGCAGCATCAGAGTCTCCTGAGTCGAGGAATCTGTATTATTAATAGCAACCAGGGCCGGGTGTCGTGGCTCACGCCTGTCATCCCAGCACTTTGGGAGGCCGAGGCAGGAGGATCACCTGAGGTCAGGAGTTTGAGACCAGTCTGGCCAAAATAGTGGAACCCCGTCGCTACTAAAAATACAAAAATGAGTCGGACATGGTGGTGCATGCCTGTAATCCCAGCTACTTGGGAGGCTGAGACAGGAGAATCACTTGAACTAGGAGGCAGAGGTTGCAGTGAGCCGAGATTGCGCCACTGCACCCCAGCCTGGACAACAGAGTGAGACTCCTTCTCAAAAGTAAATAAATAAATAGCAACCAGTACTCCAGGTGATTCCAGCATAACTTATCCATGGTTTGTGTCATTAGGAGTCCACATCCACACCTCTGCTCTTTCCTGTTCCTGTAGTGTACACTCCCCCGGTGACAGGGTGCTCACTGGCACCCCATCTTCCTGTGAATAACTCAAATAATTAGAAAATGTTCCTTTTACTGAGATGCAGTTGGTCTTCATCTATTCATGCTCTAAACAGTTCCTAAGCGCTGACTGTGCGCTAGACACTGCCAGGCCCGGGCCTCGAGGAGGAAAAGACAGTAGGGAAGACATTATAGAGCATGAAGTCACCATAATTTTCCCTAAAGCATGCTTATTGACAATTGAGGAACAAAGTGTTGTGGAGCAGAAGAAGGAGTCCCTCACCCTAGGTGTGAGATGGGATTCTGGAAGCTTCCTGAAGGATTTGAGTGGGACCTTGTGGGAGGCGTGAGAGTCCATGAAGGGGGTGTGAGGGGGAGGGTATTTCTGGAAAGTGGACCAGCATGTGCAAAAATATGGAACTGAGCACGGGTGCAGGGTGTTCTGCAGAAGGGAGAAGGCTGTGCTAGAGGAGCCAGTGAGGGCCAGCATGGGGTGGGCTTCACTAAGGAAATGGGGAAGGTTTTAGTGATGGGTCTTGCTGGGTGCTGTGTGGGGCGCATATTGGAGAAGGGTAATGCCAGAAGCCAGGAAGCCTGCAAGGGATGAGGCCATGGGAATGGAGAGAAGGGGCCACCCACTGGGCACCTAACAGGACAGGTGCAAAGTGGGGTGCTTATTAAGATTCCTTCTTTCCACTCCATTTTGAGCAGGCTGCTTAAAGTGGTGGTGATGATGATGATGATGATGGCAGCTTTATATCGAGTGCCTCAGTGCTTGGGCTGGTAGTAGTTTCTCTACATATCTTATTTCTAATTCTCAGAACAACCCTGAGAGAAAGATATTGTTGTCCCCACTTTACAGATGTGGATATTTAGGCCAAAAGGAGGAAGTGACTTGTCCAGGGGCAGACACCAAATGGGAATCTGATTCCAGTGGATGTCTCTTTTCAGTGCACTGGGTGGTCAATGCCCACTCGCTCTGAAATCATCTGACTGTGATGCCCTGCCTTGGAGTTTAGAAGTTGAGTGCAGGCTTGGGAGTCAGACTGGATGGGGTAGGTTCTAACTCTGCCACTGCTAGCCGGATGAACTTGAGCAAGTCATTTCACATCTCCGAGCCTCTGTTTCTCCAAGTGTAAGATGAGGACAAGTATAAAACCTCCTTTATGGGTTTGTTGTGAACACAGTGCAGGGCACATTTATAATAAGAGCTCAGTCAATGGTAGGTTTCATGCAACTGCTGCTCTAGGCTGGAAAAGTTGTTCTTGCACTGGATGCAGCATGAGAAGCTGGCTGCTAAGATGTCACTGGGGGTCACTAAAGCTGAAGCCTGAAGGAAAGCCTCTCATTGCTGTAGAGCTCTCCCTGCCTCTCTCTCTGGGGGCGATGGGGAAGGTCAGGAGTCCAGCCCATTCCCAGGGTGTGTGGGATAGCGATTGCATTTTCCTTTTGCTCTGGAGTTTCACTCCCCTTCTGGGTCCCAAGGGCCCAATGGCCTGACTTTTAGAATTGCTTGCAATTGGTGTTTTCTCTTGAATTTGGGGGCTGCCATTTAAAGCCAGGTTTCCATGAGCTGAAGACCAGCCATTCAAGAATCTGAAAAGTAGACAAGAGGACTCCAGTTGCCTCAGGTTGGTTCTGCTGTGCTCTGGAAAGTAACTGCAGCCACCAGGTATGAAAAGGAGCCTGGTGGGGAGACCACTGCACCCAAAACAAATCCTTTCTTCTTCTGAGAATGTGACTTTTTCTGGTGTTGTAAAAAAGAAAAAAAAAAGAATGCTCATTGTAAAAATAAAAAAATAATAATAAGCAAGGAGTAAAATGTGAAGTGTCTGCCCACATAGTCCTCCCACATACATATGTACACCTTCCTACCTCTGCCATTCCTACACACCAGAGGTAACCACTGATGACAATTTGGTCCTTCTAGAATTGTAGAATTATTTGAATGGATAAATATGTGCATGTGTATATAGATGCATACCCACATAGGCATGTCTTTGTTTTAATGGAATCATACTATATGGATTGTTCTGTATCATGCTGCTTTATTTAAGAAGTAAAATTTGGATCCTGAAAAAGCAAATCACTCACCTTTCATGTAATT
Organism: Homo sapiens; assembly: GCF_000001405.40. Classification (NCBI taxonomy): domain Eukaryota; kingdom Metazoa; phylum Chordata; class Mammalia; order Primates; family Hominidae; genus Homo; species Homo sapiens. The sequence goes on from NC_000005.10 coordinate 150,679,660, forward strand.
TGAGATTACATGGAATAAATTATAAGAAATCTTTCATATAGGCTGGGCGTGGTGGCTAACATCTGTAATCCCAGCACTTTGAGAGGCCAAGGTGGGCAGATCACTTGAGGTCAGGAGTTTGAGACCAGCCTGGCCAACATGGTGAAACCCCATCTCTACTAAAAATACAAGAATTAGCCAGGCATGGTGGTGTGTGCCTGTAATCCCAGCTACTCGGGAGGCTGAGGCATGAGAATCGCTTGAACCCAGGAGGCGGAGGTTGCAGTAAGCTGAGATTGCACCACTGCACTCAGCCTGAGCAACAGAGCAGGACTCCATCTCAAAATAAATAAATAAATAAGAAAAGAAATCCTTCATATAAAATTCTATATTTTTGCCTGTTTTTGTTCTTCCCATAAATTAAATCATACAGTGATATGGAAATGAAAAGGACTAAGAATAGCCAAAACGCAGAGAAACGTGGCATTAGACATAGCAACAACGAACTATAGTTTCATGCAACAATGTGGATGCATCTCAGGAACGTAATGGTAAGCAAAGGAAGGCAAATGTTTCCTGATGGAAGAAAATATTTAATATAAAAGTCAGAATAGTGGTAACTTTGGGAGTGGGGAGGGGTTTGTGAATGTGAAGGGACCCATCAAATGCTTCTAGGGTAGCTGGAAAAATTCTGTTTCTAGACCTGGGCGATTGTTACATAGATGTTCACTTTACAATATTTAAGTTAGTTGTACACCTGTGTGTTTTGCACTTTTCTGCACATGTACATATTTTATCAAAATAATCCCTCCTTTTAAAATGGGAATGAACAGGTTAATAGGACATGAGACATACCTGAAGAGAGAATTAGTGAGCTAAAAGTGCCCATAATGCATCTCAGAGAGTTAAAGAGATGGAAAATATGAGAGAGAAGTTAAAAGAGATGGAGAATAAAATGACAATGCCCAACACTACTAATGTTGACACTTTCCGGCAATAATGGAAAAATGTCTTCAAGGAGTGAGAGCACAATACATTGATTTTCAGACAAATAAGTATTAAGAGAGTTTTCTACTGACCCCTGAAAAAACAACAAAGAACATACTTCAGGAAGGACCCAGAAAGAAAGTATAGAATCTAAGCAGCACTAGTGAGCAGAGAAATGGTAAGCATGTGACTAAGTCCTAAAACATGATCAATCCAATAGATGACAGGAAGGATGAAGAAGAAACACAAGCACATAAAATAAAGCGGTATAATTACTTTCAAACATATCAGTTATCATAGTAACTGTAATATTTACATTTAGACAGTACTCACCAGTTTAAAGATAAAGACTTGTGGATTGGGCTGGGTGCGGTGGCTCACGCCTGTAATCCCAGCACTTTGGGAGACCAAGGCAGCAGATCACGAGGTCAGGAGATCGAGACCATCCTGGCTAACACGGTGAAACCATGTCTCTACTAAAAATACAAAAAATTAGCCGGGCGTGGTGGTGGGCGCTTGTGGTCCCAGCTACTCAGGAGGCTGAGGCAGGAGAACGGCGTGAACCTGGGAGGCGGAGCTTGCAGTGAGCCAAGATCATGCCACAGCACTCCAGCCTGGGTGAAAGAGCAAGACTCCGTCTTAAAAAAAAAAAAAAAAAAAAAGACTTGTGGATTGGACGAAGATAATTTCAGTTCTGTGCTGTTCATAAGCAATATCCCTAAAATATGTGGCACAGAAATGAAATAAAAAAATTGTCTGACGCAGTGGCTCACGCCTGTAATCCCAGAGGCGGGAGGATCACTTGAGGTCAGGAGTTTGAGGTTGCAGTGAGCTATGATCATGCCATTGCACTCCAGAATGGGCAATCGAGACCCTGTCTCAAAAAAAAGAAAGAAAAAGAGAAAGAGAGAGAGAAAGAAAGAAATACTATCCAAAAGAAATGTGTTTTAGCCATATTAACATCAGACAAAGTAGACTTGATGGCAAAAAGTATTATTGTGATAAAGCAGATCTTCACAGTGTAAGAATAAACCCATAGTCACAGAGGAAGATTTAACACATTTTTTTCAATTATCGATGGGTTAGCAGACAAATAATTAGTAAGGATACAGAAGATATGAAAAATACAATGAAAAAGTAGCGTCCTGCACCACCAGATTACTCATTCTAACTACATATACTTTAAAAAACTGAATATACAAAATTCAAAACTTTTGTGCATCGAAGAATACTATCAAGAGGGTGAAAAGAGAACCCACAGAATAGGAGATGATAACTCAAAGAATAAATATCAATGAAACTAGGGATATAAATTAATAATTTAATAAATAAAAAACAAATAAGTGAAGAAAAAGGGACAAAACTTCCTTTTTCCTTGTAGAAGACTTTCAAATAATGTCTGTAGACAGTTGCCCCCTTAGAAGGTGGAGGTTAATTCCCATCCTATTGATTATAGACTGAACTTAACCAACTTGTTTCCAAAGAATAGAGCATAGGAAGAGAAAAATTGTGACTTTACAAAGGAGAAGCCTGGAAGACATTCCCTTAACAAAGTAATCAAGGTTAACATCATCAGTGATACTCAGATTTCTGATATGAAGTGATGAGAAGGGCACTTGCTCTTTTGATATTGTTCCTCAAATCCTTAACCCCAGTCTAATCATGTGATAACATCAGAAAAACCCAGATGAGCAACATTCTACGAAAACACCTGACTGGTACTTTTAAAACCTACCACAGCATGAAAAACAAGGAAAGACCAATCAACTATCACAGATTGGAGGAGACTGGGAGACATTACAACTAAGTGTCATGTGGAAGCCTAGACTGAATTCTGAAACAGAAAAAAAGGACAGAAAAAAAAATGGTGAAATCCAAATAAAAACTTAGTTAATAGTATGGTACCTACGTTAATTTCTTAGTTTTTTTTGTTTGTTTAATTTTTTGTTTTGAGACAGGGTCTCACTACTCTGTCACCCAGGCTGGAGTGCAATGGCTCAATCTCGGCTCACTGCAACCTCCAGCTCCTAGGATCAAGCGATACTCCCACCTCAGCCTTCTGAGTTGCTGGAACTACAGGTGTATGCCACCAAACCTGGCTAATTTTTGTATTTTTTTAGAGCTGGGGTTTCACCATGTTACCCAGGCTGGTCTTGAACTCCTGAGCTCAAGCAATCCATCCACCTCGGCTTCCCAAAGTGCTGGGATTATAGGTGTGAGCCACCACGCCTGGCCAATTTCTTAGTTTTGAAAAACATACTAGGCTGGGCGTGGTGGCTCACGCCTATAATCCCAGCACTTTGGGAGGCCGAGGTGGGTGGATCACAAGGTCTGGAGTTTGAGAACAGCCTGGCCAACATGGTGAAACCCCGTCTCTATTAAAAATATACACAAGTTAGCTGGGCATGGTGGCATGTACCTGTAATCCCAGCTACTCAAGAAGCTGAGGCAGGAGAATTGCTTAAACCCGGGAGACGGAGGTTGCATTGAGCTGAGTTTGTGCCACTGCATTCCAGCCTGGGCGACAGAGCAAGACCTTGTCTCAAAAAAAAAAAAAAAAAGAAAAGAAAAGAAGAGGCCGGGCGTGGTGGCTCACGCCTGTAATCCCAGCACTTTGGGAGGCCGAGGCGGGCAGATCACGAGGTCAGGAGATTGAGACCATCCTGGCTAACACAGTGAAACCCCGTCTCTACTAAAAATACAAAAAATCAGCCGGGCGTGGTGGCGGGCGCCTGTAGTCCCAGCTACTCAGGAGGCTGAGGCAGGAGAATGGCGTGAACCCGGTAGGCGGAGCTTGCAGTGAGCCGAGATTGCGCCACTGCACTCCAGCCTGGGCGACAGAGCGAGACTCCGTCTCAAAAAAAAAAAAAAAAAAAAAAGAAAAGAAAAGAAAAGAAAAACATACTATGACTATGTAAGGTGTTAACAAGAGGGGAAGCTGGGTGAAAAGTATACAAGAACTGTCTTTGGAACTTTTCTGTCAATCTGAAGTTATTCCAAAATAACAAGCTTTGAAACTCAAGACAGACAAATCCCACAGAGAAAACACCAGAACCTGATGGCTTCACCAGAGGATTGTATCAAACATTTAAGGAGAAAAAAACAAAAAAAGCATTGTTATACAAATGCTTTCAAAATATAGAGGAAGAAACATTTCCAAACAAATTTTATAATGCCGGAAGAAACCCGACAAAAATATTACAGAAAAGACCACTATTCCTCATGAATATAGACATAAAACCCAAGATACATATGTGTGTGTTTGTATATGTATATATGTATATGTATATACACACACACATATTTATAAATATATCTGTATATATAATTTATAAATAAATATATGTAATACATCATGACTAAGTTAGGTTTACCCCAGGAATGCAATCTTGGTTTAACATTTTTGGTGCAGGAAAAGCATTAATGAAATTCAACACCAATTTATGGTGAAAATTCTTTAAAAATTTAGAAGCCAACTCCTTCAGTTTGATCAAAGTTAGCTCCAAAAAATCAGCTAATTACATACCTAACGGGGAAATACTGCATGCATTTCCCACAAGCTTGGGAATAAGACAAAGATGTCTTCTCTTATCACTTCTATTTAATGTAGTACTCATGGTCCTAGCCAGTTCAGTTAGGCAAGAAAAAGAAATAGGCATAAAGATTGGAAATAAATAAATGAAACGGTCTCTGTTCACAGGTGAAATTATTGTTTACATAGATCATTGCAGACATCTACAAAATAATTCCTAGAAGTACTGAGTGAATTTAGCAAGGTCACAGGATACAGGGTTGAGACACAAAACCCAACTGTTATTTCTATATTAACTGCAACAATTGGAAAAGACATTTTTTTAAAAATAGCAACAAATCACACAATTCTTAGTAATAAATGTAACAAAGTTGTGTAAGACTTGTACACCAAAGCCTTAAAACATTGCTGAAATTAAAGAAGATAGTTAAATGGAGACATATATTGTGCTCATAGATTGGAAAACTCAATATTTGTAAGATGTCAGTTCTTCTCAAATGGACCTATTTTCAACACAATCCCAATCATAGGCTTATGTTTTTGTAGAAATTGGCAGGCTGATTTTAAAAATTTATATGGAAATGCAAGAGCCCTAGAAAAGGAAAATGTTTTAAACAAACAATAAATTACATCATTAGGGTGGGCCCTATCCATATGACTGGTGCCCTTATAACTAGAGGAAATTTGGACACAGAGGCATGCACATTGGGAGAACAACGAGGAAAGATGAAGGCAGAGTGATGTGCCTGCAAGTCAAGGAATGCTAAAGATTGCCAGCAAACCACTAGAACCTAGGAGACAGGCATGGAACAGATTCTCTCACAGCCTCAGAAGGAATAAACCTGCTAACACCTTAATCCTGGAGGCCTAGTCTCCAGAACTGTAAGATAATAAATTCCTGTTGTTTAAGCCAGTTTTTAGTACTTTGTTATGGTAGCCCTAGCAAACTAATACAGATTTGGTATATGAGATACTAAGTTAGATTTGATTAAAACAAAAAGCTTCTGCTCATCAAAAAAAATCACTAGGAAAGTGAATAAAGCTGGGCGTGGTGGCTCACACCTGTAATCCCAACACTTTGGGAGGCTGAGGTGGGCGGATCACCTGAGGTTAGGAGTTCGAGACCAGCCTGGCTAACATGGTGAAACCCCATCTCTACTAAAAACACAAAAATTAGCCAGGTGTGGTGGCACGTGCCTGTAGTCCCAGCTACTCAGCAGACTGAGGCAGGAGAATCGCTTAACCTGGGATGTGGAGGTTGCAGTGAACCAAGATCATGCCACTGCACTCCAGCCTGGACGACAGAGAGAGACTGTATCTCAAAAAAAAAAAAAGAAAGAAAGAAAGAAAGAAAGAAAGTCAATAGGCAGGCCACAGACTGGGAGAGAGTATTTGCAAACATGTCTCTGACAAAGGACTAATACCTAAGATGTATACCTTCTATAACTAGTTAATACAAAAAAAGACACCCAATAGAAATGACCAAAATATTTGGACAGACATGTCACAAAAGAAGAAATATAGGCTGGGCGCAGTGACTCACACCTGTAATCCCAGCACTTTGGAAGGCTGAGGTGGGAGGATCACTTGAGGCCAGGAGTTCAAGGCTGCAGTGAGCTATGATCACACCACTGCACTCCGGCCTGGGTGACAAAGTAAGACCCCATTTCTAAAAATAAAAATAAAAACAGATTTTTCATCCTTAAGTTTCTCAATGTTAAAAAAAAAAAGATATGTAAATGGCCATAAGTAGTTGAAAAGGTGTCCAACTTATTTGTCACAATGGGAATGCAAAATAAAACCGCAATTAAATACCATTACACATCCACCAGAATGGCTAAAATTCAGAAAACCATTTACATCAAAGGGTGGCAACACTGTGGAGCAACTGGAACTCTCCTACATTGTGGTAGGAATGTAAAGGGAAAAAGTCTGACAGTTCTTTTTAAAACCAGACATGTTTAGTAATTCTGCTCCTAAGTATTTATGTATTTTTTATTTTTTTGAGACAGAGCTTTGATCTGTCACCAAGGCTGGAGTGCAGTAACGCCATCTCGGCTCACCGCAACCTCCGCCTCCCAGGTTCAAGTGATTCTCCTCCCTCAGCCTCCCGAGTAGCTGGAATTACAGGCACCTGCCACCACGCTCGGCTAATTTTTGTATTTTTAGTAGAGATGGGGTTTCACCATGTTGCCCAGGCTGGTCTCGAACTCCTGACATCAGGTGATCCACCCACCTCGGCCTCCCTAAGTGCTGGGATTACAGGAGTGAGCCACTGCGCCCGGCCTTAAGTATTTATTCAAGAGAAATGAAAACATATATTCACAAACAATTTGTACAAGAATATTCATAGTAGCTTTTCAGTAGCAAAAGAAAACCCAAACAAACTGGAAACAGCCTTGGTGTCCATCAATGGGAGGATGGATAAGTGATGGCATAGTCATACAGTAGAATTCTATCCTGCAATAAATAGGAACTGTATACAACATTATGGATGATTCTCAAACACATCCTGCTAGAAAGAAGCCAAATATAAAAGAGTTCACACTGCGTGATTCTATTTATATGAAGTTCTAAAGGAAGCAAAACTAATCTGTGGTAATAAAAATCAGAATAGTAGATGCCTCTGGAGATTGGTGGGAGTGGGTATTGGCTAGGAAGAGCAGGAGGAAATTTTCTGGAGTGATGGTAATGTCCTATATCTTGACAGGGGTTTGAGTCACATGGATGTATACATTTGTCAAAACTCTTGAATGACATACTCATGCATTTTAGTCTATGTAACTTTGACCTTAAAAATCCACAAAAAATATTGAACTCTTTCATCCGGACAGATGGAAAAAAGAATTGAACTCTAGTTAATTAAACATGGACCCCAACTTAGGATGGTTCAATTTATGATTTTTCAACTCTAGGATGTTGTGAAAGCAATACAACCATTCTGTTTTTCACTTTCAGGAGACTAGTCAATAAATTACATGAGATATTCCACACTTTATTATAAAATAGGCTTTGTGTTAGGTGATTTTGCTCAATAGGCTAAGCTAAGCTGTGATGTTCAGTAGGTGTATTAAATACATTTTTCACTTAATGATATTTTCAACTTATCGGGATATAACTCTACCATAAATTGAGAAGCATCTGTATATAAATGCTGAAATGTTTAAAGGTGAAGTCTGTTGATGTCTTCAGTTTACTCTGAAATGCATAAAAACAGACTGATGGGGCTGGGCACGGTGACTCATGCCTATAATCTCAGCGCATTCAGAAGCTGAGGTGAGCAGATCTCTTGAGGTCAGGGGTTTGAGACCAGCCTGGCCAATATGGTGAAACCCCGTATTGTAAAAAATACAAAATTTGTATTGTAAAAAAATACAAAAATTAGCCGGGTGTGGTAGCACACGCCTGTAATTCCAGCTACTCAGGAGGCAGAGGCAGGAGAACTGCTTGAACCTGGGAGGCGGAGGTTGCAGTGAGCCAAGATAGCACCACTGCACTCCAGCCTGAGTGACAGAGTGAGATTCTATCTCCAAAAAAAAAAGATTGATGGATGCATAAAGAAATGGATAGATATGTGATAAAGCCAATATGGCAAAGTGTTAATTGTAGAATCAGTTGGTGGGTATACGGTGGTTCACAGTAAAATTATTCTAACTTTTCTGTACATCAGAAAATTTTTACAGTAAAATGTTAGGGGCAAAAAAAAAAAAAAAGACTACAGAATCTCTGAGAAGAGTAACATTTTCTAATCTTAGAAGTGATCTTGGCTGGGTGCGGTGGCTCACACCTGTAATCCCAGCACTTTGGGAGGCCGAGATGGGTGGATCACAAGGTCAGGCATTCAAGACCAGCCTGGCCAACATGGTGAAACCCCGTCTCTACTAAAAAAAAAGACAAAAATTAGCTGGGCATGGTGGTGTGTGCCTGTAATCCTAGCTGCTCAGGAGGCTGAGGCAGGAGAATTGCTTCATCCCGGGAGGTGGAAGTTGTGGTGAGCTGAGATCGCACCACTGCACTCCAGCCTAGGCGACAGAGCAAGACTCTGTCTCAAAAAAAAAAAAAAAAAAAAAAAAGAAGTGATCTCATCCTATACTACTATTTCTCAAAGGGTAGTCTTTACCTCATAAAAATCCAGGAACTTAGACTCACTGAAGTTTAAAAATTGCTCTACCTGCCGACCCTGGAGAATTGCACTCCACAGCCAGGGCTTCAGCTGCCACTACTTCACTGCCCATCCAAATCTTAATCTCCCTTAAGCTCCATTCCCCTTGGGTTGGGAATTTCCATTGGCCTTACAGATATCTTAAACTCACCAGATCCCACAGGGGATTCATATTTTCCTACCCCTACTTCCCAATCTCGCCTTCTTCTTCCAGCATTCTCTATTTCAGGAAAAGACATCTTTCTACCCAGTTGACCAACCCAGAGACCTGAGGTGGGAGGTTAGGGGTTACCCTAGACTCCTCTCTTTTCACCTCCATTTATTTCAGGTCACAGTGGCTCACTGATTTGGCTTCCAGAACATCTGTTATATCTCACTCTTTGCCCCATGGGCTGTCACTGCCTTAGTCCAGTTGTCATAATGCTTTACCTTCTGAGCTTTTTCCATGGGAGAAGAAGCTCAAAATATTACAGGCAGCAAAAAGGGTTAAGAGATGAGGCCTTATGACAACTAGAGAGAGATTAAGTACACACCAGGTTATATAGCTGGGAGGAGCTGAAGTTGAGATTTGAACTCAGGTAGTCTGGCTCCAGAGTCTGTTTAAAACACCATTACTTGCCTGGACACGGTGGCTCATGCCTGCAATCCCAACAAAGGGAAGGCCAAGGCGGGAGGATCGCTTCAGCCCAGAAGTTTGAGACCAGCGTGGGCAATGTAGTGAGACTCCTATTTTTCAAAAAAAGAGGAAAACACCATCACTCAGTGTAAACCTACTATATAAACAAGTGCCTTTTTATTATTAGATGTGAGGACATCTATATTTTTATTAGAGTAACACTAGCTGCTGTAACAGATAAATCCCCAAGTCTCAATGCCTTAATACAACAACAATTTCTCATATAGCAATATTGTCTTCTAAGTGGTGATGGAGGAACCCAGGCTCCACTGTGTGACTCTGCTATCTTCTAGAGACCATTCTGTGCATTCAGCCAGATGGAGAAAGCACATAGGACTGGGTGAGGGTTTTACAGGCCAAGCCTGGGAACGGCAAAAGTTGCTTTTCACCAAGTGTACCCAGCTGTGTGCCCTAGGCAATGGAATTTGGCAAGCAAGAGTTTTTGCCAAGATATAATTGCTCATAATTCTGGTTTATTTATGAATATCTATTCTATACTTCCCTTTATACTGGTTTTTTAAAAAAGATCCATAACCAAACTACACAAAAATTAGAATCTCCTCCTCCCCAAGAAAGCAAGGTTACAATACACAATTGGATAGGCATATATGTATGTATGTATGTGTATGTGGAGATGTAAATCGTTGAATCTAGCAGTTATTAAAATGCTATCCATAAGATTCACATCTCATTTACAAATTGGCTAAAAATCCTTTACATGCTCAAAAGCAGGCAAAAAAGACCCAAAAGGATACAAAGATACTTGGAAGTATCGTACATTGCTTCACATTTGACATTACTAGCAATAAAATGAAAATTTCTAAGTATAGATTTTTAAATCTTTAAAAAAGGCAATTTAAGTTCTCTAGGAAAAAAAATTCTGCAAATCTAAAACAGGGTGCCATATGGGGCATGTCCTTCTTGGAAGTAAACATTTTAGATAAAAGTAGCATAAAATTTGCTTCAGGAAATGGCCGGGCGCGGTGGCTCACTCCTGTAATCCCAGCACTTTGGGAGGCCAAGGTGGGCGGATCATGAGATCAGGAGATCAAGACCAGCCTGGCCAACATGGCGAAACCCCATCTCTACTAAAAATATAAACATTAGCTAGGTGTGGTGGTGCATGCCTGTAATCCCAGCTACTCAGGAGGCTGAGGCACGAGAATTGCTTGAAGCCAGGAGGCAGAGGTTGCAGTGAGCCAAGATCGTGCCACTGCACTCCAGCCTAGTGACAGAGTGAGACTCCATCTCAAAAAAAAAAAAAAAATTTGGCTTCAGGAAAAATGGATTTATAATAAATGTTTCCTTTTAAAATGACTTGCCTAAGGATGACCTATTACATTTTATTTTTTAGAGACAGGATCTCACCATGTTGCCCAGGCTGGCCTTGAACTGCTGGCCTCAAGCAATCCTCCCACCTCAGCCTCTTAAGTAGCTGGCACTATCGGCATGCACCCAGCTGGGTGACTTCTTAAAGTTACCCTTTATCAACTACCCTACACCAGGCTCTGTGCTAAGTGTTTCTGTGCACTATCTTATTTCAACCTCACAATCACCCTTTGAGATAAATACTAAAGAGGTCTGAGCCTTTTAAATCATCATGGAATCAACCTAAGAATAGGCTGAGGTTAAAAAAAAATAAGTAAATCATCACGGAATGGATATAATCAAAAGTCTAAAGCAACATTTAAAAAATTTACAATATATAACTCATTTCTATTAAATAACTTCCACTGACCTCGAGTTCAGCTACCAAAGGATAAAGAGGAATCTAGAAATAAACCCATGACAACATGTGAAAAATTGACCCGTTTTAATTATTTAAAAACAAAAAACACATCAAATTTCCTTTACCATCTACAATTCAGTTATATCCAAACACTCTAAGACCAAACAGAAGCAGGGATGACAATGAGACACTGAAGACACACGAAGGTGAATGCTGAAGACCATCAGAGTCCCAGCAGGAGGTCACGTCTTTCATTCAGACGCTCCAATGCTTTTCATTTCAGTTTGTTAAAGAACGTGTTTTACAGGAAGTTCTTTACAGTAATTTCATGCCAGACACCAGGTTTCTTCGATGGTACACAGCTCCATGAAATTTGTGTTTCCATCCAGTTGACAGGAATAAAAAGGAATTTTTATTTTTGTCTTTTTTTGGGCCGTAGAGACGTAAAATGGTCAGATTCCTTTAGGAATAAATGAGGAAAAGGAGAGGAAAGAGAAGATCTGGGCTGTGCTGGTGCTGGTTTCTACTCATCTTTCGGAGGGTGTGACTTCAAGAGTTAAATCACACTTAGGCCACTACAATGATTAGTACTAGTTATCTTTTTTTAAGATGATAAAAAGGAAAGTATCCAATGGACATAAAAATGGTCAAAGGTTTTTTTACTGCAGGTCAATTTTTCCCCCGACCAAAAAATATACAAAATGAACATATAATTGGGAGGGTAACTCTGCTGGACATTCCAATTCACTCATCTGCGTGTCCCCCACACGGGTAAGGGGAACAGGCGTTCGGTTTTATTAGTCATGTTACAGCAGTAACCAGATGTGTTAATGGCAGCTTATTTACGGTCCATCGATCCTTTGAACAAGTATAGGAAAGCATGGCTGTCAGTCTCTGACTGCTCACATCTGAGCACATTCAGCTACCATGGAAACTACAAGGGAAGGAAAAATATATTTATTCCAAGATTTACTGGGAGTTTTAAGTGCCCTTTCTTCCACAGAGCCCCAGAGTGGTGACAAGGTGCTAGGGGCTGCTGTGTTTTCCAGCATGAGCTCCCATCCTCTGAGGGTCCTGAGAAGGATAGTGGATTGGTCCTGGAGCCCGCATGAAAGGAGGGGGTGGTCCCATTGGGTGGAACATGTGTGGCCCAAAACCTGCAGATACGAGAGAACAAATGTGTTAGGCTGGTAGTTTCCTTGATAACCTTTCAAACCTCTCAATCTTGCTAAGGTTAAAACCACCTACACATAAATCAAGGTTGACACGGGGCTTAAGCAAATGTCAGTTCACAAACTTACTTCCACTTGTTATTTCCTTGGTTTTAGAAACCTTTCCCCCACAGTCCAAAAAACTCCACAGCACTCAAGGTATCGCCTAGTATGTCATCTGAGTCTCTGCTATGTATCCAACATGCCAAATCCTACCAGACAGGATTCAGTCAGGATTTGGGAGATAAGAAAGAAATCAGGCTGATGGCAAAGACTGTGTCATCATTAACCTCAATGCTTGACACCAGAATGGAGGGTGCTCAGAAACCAGATTCTCTTCAGAGTATGGGCTCTCTGCCACAGGAGAACTGGCTACCTGTGATTTCCTTCCACTGTTAACACTGTCTACAGCAGTGCTATACGAAGTGCCAGTCCTCCACCTATTTCTGGCCACTCAAGACAAAGAGCTTGAGTCAAAATGTAAATTATACGACCAGGCACAGTTTAGTTCATCTGACAGTTTTTTTGGTAACAAGACTTTCTCAATGAAGGAAGGGGTTCACTGATTACATTTTGGCACAAGCTCCTGATCTTGTGGCAGACAGGTGATAAACACTTTGTAAAATGACACCCGCTCACAGCCCACACTGGGCAATAGTGCTCTAGGGCATCCATTAGCATTTAGTTTAGAAAAGGGAACAAATTGGTGATAGATCTTTGTAATCTAATAATCTTACTCTGCTGACACATATACGCGGATCTTTAGAAAACTGGCCCCTTTCTTCTCCTCGGCAGAGCAGGAGAAAGAAAAATTTCAGAAATCCCAACAGATCAACTTTACTGGTAGACTTCTACAGAGCAAACTCACAGGATTTGGATGTGTTGAACATGATGGTGAGGTTTATGAGACAGAACTTTCACAAGGATTTCTCTGGGCTAAGAAGGAAGATGGAAGTTACCTGGGGGTGGGGGTGGAGCAATGCCAGGGGGCGGTGGCAGAGCAATGTTCACCACAGCTGGAGGACCACTTGGGGGCAAGTTGAAGTAGTTGGCAGAGGCTTCTTCTTCTGCTGCAGGAGGAGGAGGAAGAGCTGGAGGAGAGAAAATAGTCAACACATAGAGGGGAGAACAATTGTGCAACGCTGTTTCTACCACCTTTACATTCTCAGAGGTCCTACTGGGAGAGTAGAGCGGCAACATGAACCAGACCTGGGTCCCATCTTCCAAAATAGGAACATCAGGGCAGAAAGAGCTTCTGAAGTCAGCAGGGAGTCTGCACTCACCTCCTGGCAATCCTGGAACAGGTTCTAGTTTGATCCCAGAGTCTGTAGTTCCATCTTTCTCTTTTTCTTTTCCTCTGGCTGCCTGGGATCTGGGAAACACACATGCATACAGTCGGCACTCTGGCCCACCTTATCTCACACCTCTGCTTCTTACATTCCCCAGTCCAATGGAGTTCCTTCGCTCTACCTCCTCCTCAGCACACACTCTTTTCCCATAAATGCCACTGTGCACAGTGAACAAGAGCAAAGGTTTTGACACCAGAAAAGACCTGGGTTCAAAAGCTGCTAGAACTATCATAAGGACCAGAAAAGGCAACACATACGTGTTTAGCACAGTGCTTACCACATAGGGAGCGCTCCACAAAGGCAGATGCTGCTATTAGCCATCACTTCCCTGGTTCCAAGTTGGAGACATGTTCCCCCTTTGAACTGGGTCTTTCACCTGTGTCTCTCTTATGCAATCATCACTTTTAAACTTAAAATAGCGATTCTTCCCTGTTTTATCTTCTCCACTGGACAATCAGCCTCTAAGGGCAGAATCTAGGTCTAATTCATTTATAAACCCTAAAATTCACCTTTCATGGCCTGGCATTATACTTGGCCTATAATAGCTAGTCACAAAAACATGAACCTTCAAAGGAGTAGATTATACACCAACCCCCTGAATACATTTCCAAAGCAGGGTTCTCCCAACATCCACAGGAATCAAGTATCACATAGAGAGTGATCTTTGAAAGATCTCTTTAAAGATCCTGTTCATTTAAGCCTGTTAACCAAAAGCCTACTAGTCTCCAGAAAATGAAATAGTTTCTTAAAAATCTAAGCAAAATGTCACTTAAAAATAGTTTAATTCTCACCTTCCCCATTTCACATTCAGTCTGCGGCCATTTACAATCAACTTATTAAAGGACTTCTCAGCAGCCACTTCTGCAGCCTGCCGTGTGGCAAACTGGATGAAAGCACACTGCTGTCTCTGCACAACAGTGATCGTCCGGATCTCTCCGAACTGGTAGAAATGATTTCTGAAGGGAAACAGGCAGAGAAAAATGAAAGTGGGAGTTAAAAAAGATGTACCCAGGAGACTGAAAATGGATTAACTTTCACTGACACACCACTAGGCAGGTGGGCCCCAAGGTTATCTGCCTAACTACCCGCAGGTCTCCACCCCATATCTTGTCCTACTGTGGGTGCTGCTGATTGAGAGAAGGAAAGAAAAATAATGAGTAAATAAAGGTTCTCAAACATCTCAGGGTTTTTTCCCATGGAGGAAAGGGGGTTCTAATAGGTTCTTTAAAGACCCTAAACCCTAGATAAGAGGTTGGCAAACCATAGCTCTCAAGGCCCATGAGCCAAGAAAGTTTAAAACAAGAATACGTGACAGAGACTGCATGTGGCCCACAATGCCTAAAATATTCACCATCCAGCCTCTTACAGCGAAAGTCTGCCAACCCCTGGGGGTTGTCTAGCTCACTTAGATAGGGTTTAATGGAGACAGGCTACCAAGGGCAGGTTATAAACTTACAGGAGTTTCTTCTCCACTTTATCTCTTTGGAAGAGGTAATTTCCATTACTATCTGCCCAGAAGTCTCATCTAGCCAAGCATAATACAAGCCAAAAATAACACAAATTTATCAAATGCCAGTCTCTTTAAAAACCAACAATTTAAACCACAAGAGTTTTATCATCGCAAAGCTCTCCCTCCTCTACATAATTCATCATACTTGGATGCGTGCCATCCTTTAAAACTTGGCTGTTAGGTCAAATAGAATCCTATGTCATTATTACCATATGCCAGGATGGATAAGCACTCTTTGAGCTTTGGTTCTGAGACAGGGTCTCACTCTGTTGCTTAGGCTGGAGTGCAGTGGTGCAATCACAGCTCACTGCAGCCTTGATCTCCCAAGCTCAAGCAATCCTCCTGCCTCAGCCTCCCAAACAGCTGGGACTACAGGCACATGCCACCACACCCGGCTAATTTTTTTGATTTCTTAGTAGAGATGTGGTCTCACTATGTTGCTCAGGCTGGTCTCAAACTCCTCGGTTCAAGAGATCCTCCCAAAGTGTTGAGATTACAGGCATGAGGCACTGTGCCCAGCCACATAAGCACATTATTACTGTGGCACCATAAAGGACAATTTTACAAAAATTCCAGTCAGCATGATACTAACAATAGAGAGACTACAGAAAAATGTATTTTGTACAGAATGATCATTCTTGCAGTTTTTGCAAATAAATTATTCCAGGGCAGTTAAAGGCAAAAATAACTCTCTAACTTATACCCACAAACCTTAAATCTGTCTCAGTAATGGTATCACCTAGACCACCAACATATAGTGTGGTGATAGTTTTATCCTCTGGTGGGTCCAGCCGAGGCATTGTTGAAGCCCGCTTTAGAAGCTTGTCAGCTACAGGATCATTGATTCCGTAATAACGGTCTTTAATATTCTGATCAGCAAGGGGGTCATCTGGATCTGTAGGCTTCTCATGTCTATGATTCAAGAAAAAAACAAGGCATAAAGGTGAAACGAAGGTGAAAAAATGATTATCTTCCAAGAGTAGCTACATATTAAAGTCCTAGATACATATTCTGAAGTGCCTTTTGAACTAGAAACTATGGTTTCTACCAAAATATAATTACCAAAATAGACCTAATACCAAGAGATTTACTGTATCACGGAAGGAATTACTAGCCTCCTAAAAGCCATTAGGCCATCTAGGATGCCAAACTTTCCTTATAAATAAATACTCTTGACATGATCCACCCCCTCCCGCCCCCCAGAAAGGGACACATGATTACCCCTCTCTAGGTCAATGATTCTTAACACATTTGGGGTGCTGTATTCCACTGAGAATCTGATTAAAGCTATGAACCTCGCCCCAGAGAAAGCACATACATTATTTTTTAGGGGGTGGGGTTAACCAATCCCAAATTAAGAACTCCTAATCCAGATGCTTGGCAGTCTTAACCAAAACATACACACCCTTTAGAAGTCTGACCTTACTTTGACTTCAACTATACATTGAGAGTCAACTCATTTAAACCATGGCAGTGAAGATTTACTTCTCAGGCAGAAATGTTTAGGGTCAGCATCTATATTGTATGGCATAGCAATTTAGTTTCCAAGGCTCAATTGTAAGTAAAAACTACAATTTATTCATGCTCTTCTAAATTTCATAGTTCTAAGACATGAGGTATACCACATTAGTTGTATGACCTTTAGATTTTAAAGCAGAAACAGTTTAAGTTAGGACCTCCCACTTCTTAGATGAGAAATCATCTGAAAGCAAATACTGAAAATGAGGCTCGCTCTTGCCTGTATGGACATTCCTCTCCTCTCTTACACTCTCCTTTCACCCAGAAGGAGCAAATGTGGGGTCGATTCCTTTTGTAGTAGGGTGTGGTCCGGGCCAGTTTGAGCAGCATGTCACTGGTAGATGTGGCTTTCCCCAGCATGCCAACTGGCCGTGTTCCATCAGAGTTAGAAATCTAAGTGGGGATGACAAATTCAAAAGATAAATTATACAGACTGTGTCAATTCATTAGGATTTTTATCCAAAAAGTGGCAGCATACCTCTCTCTCCATATTCTGTGTATAGTACTCTTTGTTGACATCTGACTTTGGCATGTCATCTTTAAAAGACAATCCTGCGTCACGAACCTGGATGGGCAGGCCTGGTACAAAAAAAGAGGAAAAAGACCTCAGATGTATTTTAAAACATATCCATACTAACCATGCACACAGAATACATCATCTTTCCCTTCTCCTCTTTCCTATTTAGTACCAGAGACTTTACTATGTTTTTATTCAAACTCTTTAGCACCATCAGGTTACTTCTGCTACACAGCATGCTAAGAAATTGTCCAAATTCCTGAACTGTCAGGAAATTTGATGAAATTAATGCTTTAGAAAAAATCTTTTAGGCTGGGTGTGGTGGCTCATGCCTGTAATCCTAGCACTTTGCAAGGCTGGAGCTGACAGATAGCTTGAGTCCAGGAGTTCGAGACCAGCCTGGTCAACGTGGTGAAACCCCATTTCTACAAAAAATACAAAAATTAGCTGGGTGTGGTGGTATGCACCTGTAGTCCTAGCTACCCAGGAGGCTGAGGTGGATCACCTGAGCTTGGAAAGGTTAAGGCTGCAGTGAGCCATGACCATGCCACTGCACTCCAGCCTGGGCAACAGAGTGACACCCTGTCTCAAAAACAAAAAACAAAAAAATTATAAAAGAAAATTTTTAGATGAACAAACTGTGCCCATGGTCATATTCAACCTGTAAATTAGCTCCTAGTTTTTATTACAACATGATTTATTTAAAGTAAATGTAAAAGTGGTTTCTTTCTAGGTTAGTCTTACAGATCCTCTGGATAGTCACAGTCATCTAAGGGTCACTGTACTCCAGGACCAGACGCCTCCTTAACAAACATATAAATAATATTACATAAAATGTGGCCAGGACTCTGACTAGAAGAGTAACTCTAATGAACTTAACATACATAAACTCATATATTTTTCCCTTTCCTTTAATAGTAAAAACTCTTGTTGAAAAATTATCTTTCTGAAAAACAGTCACCTATGGTTAAAAAAAAAATTACTCCCAAAAGCAGTTACTCTGAAACAGTAGCAATATATCAGTTCTAACAACACAATTGAAATAAAAGTCTAAAGCACAATTAGGCTGGCTATAGTGGCTCTGGGAGGCCAAGGTGGGAGGACTGCTTGAGGCCAGAAGCTCAAAACCAGCCTGGGCAAAATAGTGACACACACACACACGTGCACTGGGTGTGGTGGTATACCAGGAGGCAGAGGCAAGAGGATCCCTTGAGCCCAGGAGTTCGAAGTTGCAGTGAGCTGTGATCACACCACTGTACTCTAGCCTGGGTGTCAGAGTGAGACCCTAACTCAAAAAATAAAATAAAATAAAGCACAATTACCCTGTGAGCTTCTGATTGGGATGGTGGAAAAAAGCTCTGGATCAAGAAAGAAGCCTAAGGCAAATAAATTATCTATCATAGGATCAACGCCTTTTACCTCACTTGGGCTACAGAGATGAAGGTTTAGGCCACTTTTGATTAATTCCCAACTTTTCCTTAAGTTCCTACTATTGTTCAGGACTCTAGAGTGGCCTAATTATGGTTCTTTTCCTGGGAAAAGCAGACCACGGCAGACATTCCAAAGTGAAATCAGAACCAGAGCTAGGGTGCGAAGTGGGAGACAAAAGACTGACTTGTAGTTTTAGGCACCTGCACACTTTCAGATTTATTGGACAGGTCAAACATACCATACTCTAGGTCTAAGAGGCAGGTCTGACAGACATTCTTCAATTTACTGCAGGTTTGGCACACTTCAGTCTTCTTGAAACGCATGCGGACTCCAGGGCACCAGCGAAACACTGTGAATGGCCTGGCACAGATCTGGAACACAAAGCAAGAGCCATAGAATGTCAATGGTCCTGATCTGGGCAATCTGGAGATCTGATAACAACGGGGCATTCAAAAAAGGATCCCTGAATGTAGGATTTAGAAGAGACCTTAGCAATCATCTAGTTGATTTGATGTTTCAATACAATTTTCAGCATCCTTCTCCAGCAAAAATTCAGAGTACAGAAATGAAATAGCCAAAGGGTCAAAGTTCTTCCCATCCTAGAGCTAAGCACCAATAATAATCTGAACCTTAATCTTTTTTAGGGGGAGTGGGGAGTGTCATGTAATTTTTTGAGAAGCTTCTGACAAGAATGACCTTCCTCCTCAGCTAAAATGCTCGAGTGGACAGTCATACACCACCTGGTGTACAAACTCCTCCAGTGCCCATCCACTGACACCGTAAGAATCTCTACATTAGAGGGTTCATTTTCTTACCTCCCACATAAACAGTTGCCAGCCAATGAATATATCAGTAATACATAAAAAGTTGTATAGCACTGATTTTTACTGGAAGACCTCAAAACTTAGTAAGCTGAAGGCTAATTTGGTAGAGAAAAGAAAAATGAAACAGAAATCATTACTCTTTAACAGACATACTTACTTTGCATTCCTTCCCATACTTTTCTTTGGTCTATAATAGAAAAAAAATAGAAAAGAACTGGAGTTACAGAAAGAAAAAAGCCAGATGTCTACTCTTTCCTTAAACATAACCCAAGAAATGTGTCTGGAAATCCCTGGCATCCTAGAGAGAGAAAAACAGCAACAACAAAACCCAAAACCCAACCTTTTTTGGGAAGAGGGTAGGGAACATACTATAACAACATATTATAAGTGATAACATCTCAAGAGTATATGGATCTGGGCTGGGTGGCAGTGGCTCACGCCTGTAATCCCAACACTTTGAGAGGCCAAGGTGGAAGGATTGCTTGAGCCCAGGAGTTCCAGACTAGCCTGGGCAACATAGCGAGATGCTGTCTCTACAGAAAAAAGAAATAGAGTATATGCATCTAATGCTAGGTAAGTGAGTGTCTTTCCACAGCCACAACTCTTAGGTTCATTTTTGGCTCCCAAGTTCACTCCCAAGAACTAACATTCCTAATGCTTTCCACAATCCCTAAATCAGAGAGGATACAGCTGTGGCCCGCCCACTTTACAAAGTTTAGTCAAAAGGTAGCTACTGTAGACTTGTCCTGTGCCAATGCCCGGAATATAGTAAATGTTCTGTTTAAACAGAACTATTCAAACATCTTGAACCATTCAAACATCGTGAACATACTAACATATCAACACCTCTACGACTACACAATAATACAGCCCTAACCTTATTATTGTTAACTGGTTCTAATTTTACCCTAGTTTGTAACAAAGGGGGAATGCTTACTTTAAAGAGATAAAGTACACTGGCCAAAAGGCATTTGACCAGGATTCAGGAAACCTAGTTTCTAGTTCTGGTTCTCCTCCTATCATGCTGACATTCCTAGAGCCAGAATATGTGAACTTAAATCCCAGCTCCATTCCTTACTATTGTATGAAAAGACACAAACGCTCTCACCTTCTGGTCAACAGACCTATTTCCTAGGTAAATGCTCAACAAATACTAGCTATCGTTATTACCCCTACATTACAGGAGTGTTACCGGATTCGTAAGAGAATACACATGACAGTTCTTTGCAAGTCGTCCAGCACTTCGCGTTAGTAAAAGAGCATCATTTTTTCTGCTTGTCTAAGAGAAACACTTCACAGTGTGCAAGTACCACAACATCGACAGGACATGAATAACTCGTTTCACACGCGATCACTCACCATTCGGATATATGGGTTTTCTCCAAGACATGTCTGGCACAGAATGGGGAAGTCCTGGTGAAAATGGGAAATCTGGTTGAGGACCACCCTCCGAAGACCCTGACACCTCAGTGACACTTGGGGTGGCGAGGGGGCGGGAAGCGAGGGTGGGGAACTAGGCACGGCAGGAACCCGAAGTCCATCACGACCCGATCGCGGGAGGGGGCGCTGTCTGCACTTCCGGCAGGCGGCGGGAGAAAAGAAAACCAGCTCTAATAGGCTGGAGGGGGCAGGGATGGAAAGGGTGCTGGTCCCGGGACCCTGGCTAAGCCCCCTCCCTTCAAGCCCGCAGGAGGATCGCCCTCCGCCCTCCTGCTCCGGCCAAGCTAGGCCGCCGCGCTGGCTCCTCCCCGGTATTCCTTCGGCCGCGCCGCAGGCCCTGTCCTGCCAGCTTGCAAGGTGCGCGGCTTCGCCTCCTCCTTCCATCCTCCTCCGGCAGGCACACTCACCGCATCCTCCCAGTTCTGCCTGTTGTAGGTGTTGGAACCCAGAGAGGTCGCCATCTTGAGAGCGTCCGGAGGTAGCTGTAGCTTCCGAATTGGGAGAGAGGACCGCCACAATCCCGTCAAGCCCCGAGGCTAGCGCCGCGCCGGTCGGCGTCTTATTTACGCGTCTAGGGCTTCTTCCGGGGCGGGGCCTTTGCGTCATGACGTCGCCCGCTCTTGGAATTTCTAAGCTTAACAATTGGGGTCCTGGTATAATGCACCTGGATGCTTCCTTCGAGTTTTTGCCTGCTTGGAATGAAGGGCCACACGTACAGTTGATTCATTTAACAATTGGGCGAAAGAATAAAGGAAGACGTAATGCATCAGAGGCTGGGGTTAAAATAGCGTTCGCTACCACTGAGGCGCTTATTATGCCAAACTCTGGGCGAACGTCTTGCGGTTCCAGTGTCTTATTTATTCGCATAACCTCTCTGTAGGGCTCTCTGTAGGGCTGCCAGATTCTGATTCTGTCTCTCTCTCTCTCTCTCTCTCTCTCTCTCTCTCTCTGTCACTCACACACACACATGCACACACACACACGCACGAATTACAGAACGTCTAAAGTTGAATTTCAGATTAACGGCGAATCGCTTTTTAATTATAAATATATATGGTACCTACTCGTCCTAAAGTAGGATTCGTGGTTGACCTGAAATTCACATCACTTAACCAATCGTCCTGTATTTTATCTGGTAACTCTACCCTGTAGGCAAGTATGATGATCCCTCTTTTATAGAAAAGAAAACAGGTTTAGAGAGATTAACCTAATCTCTCCTGATATAGCTCCTGGTTGTGGAGCTAAAAAGTGGTGAAGCCACAAATTCATTAGTACTGTTTCATTTCCAGCTTCTGAAATGACAAGGGTCTTACGAATCAACATATGCATTATTTGATTTTTGGAATAACTCATAACCACTCTGCCAATATTTTATGAGTTTCAAGCCATTCTGGTACCACTTTCATACTTACCGTGTCATCAAGCTACCTAACACATTTATTTAAATCACCTCATTAAAAAAAAAAGTTGATTTAAAGTATAATTTACATAAAGTTTTATCCTTTTTAGTTTTGAATTTTGTACATACATTCACTTACAGTCAAATATGGAATTGTCTGTCATCCCCAAAGTTCCCTTGTTTCTGTAGTTAGTCCACTTATCCCATACTCAAACCATGGCAATCACTAATTTGTGTTCTGTCCCTAGTTTTGCCTTTTCCAGAATGTCACATAAGTGGAATCCTATATATCCTTTTGGATCTGATATTTTTTCACTTAGTATTTTGTAGTTGAGATTCATCCATATTATTACATGTATCAATAATTTCTTCCTTTGTATTACTGAGTAGAATTCCATTGTATGGATATATCATACAATTCACTTGCCAGTTGCTGGATATTTGGGTTGTTCCCAGATTTTAGTGAATATAAATAAAACCATTATAAACATTCACATACAGATCGTTGTATGGACATTGGTTTTCATTTTGCTTGTGTAAATGCCTTAGAGTGAGATTATTTGATCATATGGTAAGTATATCTTTTCCTTTATAAGAAAGTCCTTGGGTTTATCTGAGCTTCTTGGATCTGTGATTTGTTGTCTTTTATTATATTTGGAAAATTCTCAAGTATCATCTCTTCAGACTGTCTTCTGCCTGGTTTCTACATCTGTGACTCCAATTTCACATGCCTTGTGAGGAGTGCAAGGTCAGAAATAACAGAGTCCACGTACATTTGTGTTTTTCCACAATGCCAGACTTTTACTGATGCTATTTCAATCACAAAAGCCACGAACTACATGGAGTTTCCAAGAAAGCAATTCTCCTTAGTACTTCCCACTCACTCAGCACTCAGAGTCTTGGACACACAGGCTCAAGGCACTCCACAGGTCAATCAATATTGCAAATCATGCATAATGGTATACTTAATCAACATATATATTATAGAGTGAACATTCCACAAACAAAATAACATTTAACATTAAGAGAAAAGAGATAGGACCCTTTTCTCCTTTAAGTCTGGAGCCCTCAGAATCATCTCCTTTCCTTCCTTTTTCCCTCTTTCCTCCCCCAATTTATTTTTTAATCTTTGTGGGACATGACTTCTAGGAATGAGCCTTCCTAGCAACATGGAACATGACTTCCTAGGAATGAGCCTTCCTAGTAACGTGAGACCTGAATTTCCTGGAATAAACCATCCTAGCGACAAGAAACCAGCTCAAAAAAGGAGGAAAAAGCGAACTGAGGCCAGGAACACATATTCCTTTTAAAATGCTTTCTCCAAAAGATGTTAAAGAAAAAAAGGGGGAAATGTGAAAGGAAATTAAATCTTGGGACCCCAGACTCATTAAGCCAAAGGGAAAAGTCAAGCTGGGAAGTGGGTCACACAAACCTGCCTCCCGCTTTTGGTTCCTAAATAAGATGGCTACAAGATGGAAAGCTACATGCCTCCCCCATATTTTGCCCACAAGGAAATTCCTAGTGAGGAATTTTACTTTCCTAGAAAGGAAAAAAGAAAAGAGATGAAAAAATATATATAGGGACTAGGCCAGATTTATAGCAACAAAAGGAAAGCAAACCTGGAAGCTGGGTCAAGCTTTATTATATTACTGCCTCCTCAATTAAAGCAATTCTCTGGGCAATCATTACCTTAGCCCTTTCGGTTGCATATTGACTTATTTGCAAACACGTACTATAACAACATTGTAAGCAGAAACAGGACAGAACATAAATTATTCCTTCTATTATAAGCAATAGCTTCTGCCACTAAATTCCCCAGGATCCAAACCAACCACTCAAGCAATGGATTAGTGAGGGTTTTGGATCTGACAGTTGCTTATCTGGGTTTTCATACTGGTCATAATTCAGTTTATGTTCTTTGATTCATCTGGAATATACACACAACATTCAGTTTTTACGGTGGCACAGGTTCCCCTTGTGCTGCCATGAGTATATCTAAAGCCACATAGTTTTGCAACACAGCTTTCCTCATAAGCATGACCTCATTGCTTAGCAAAGAGGTACTCATGCAGCTACCATTTAGGGCCTTTGGGTGTAATTCGTTATGGCCTCTATATGCCATATAACATCTTCGATACCTATCTGTGGTACAAAGATTGAAGCTAAGTGATCATAGCACTGGAATACCAAACATGTCCAATGAGATTGTAAATGAAAAAGGTTTGCTGGTTTAATGGAAGGGTCTGAATTACTGGGCAACATATGGGGGAGGCATGTAGCTTTTCATCTTATAGCCATCTTATTTAGGAACCAAAAGCAGGAGGCAGGTTTGTGTGACCCAGTTCCCAGCTCGACTTTTCCCTTTGGCTTAATGAGTTTGGGGTCCCAAGATTTAATTTCCTTTCACAATATATATAATCCATATTTTCCTTTTCTTTTTTTTCGAGATGGGGGTCTCACTTTGTCACCCAGGCATGATCATAGCTCACTGTTACCTGGAATTCTTGGGTTCAAGGGATCCTCCAGCCTTAGCCTCCCAAGTAGCTGTGACTATAGAAGCAGGCCACGGTGCCCAGCTAATTTTTAACTTTTTTGTAGAGACAGGGTCTCACCATGTTGCCCAAGCTGGTCTCGGAACTCCTGGGCTCAAGTGATTCTCCAGCCTTGGCCTCCCAAAGTGCTGGGATTACAAGTGTGAGCCATGGCACCTGGCTCCATGTTTTCCACCAGATTTTTTAACATTGTAGGGGCCAACAGAAAAGTTCCCCTTTGCCCTCTTAAGATTCACTGAAAATTAACTAGCAAAAGGCAGATTAATAGGAGAAAAGACATACAAATTTATTTGATCATAGTTTTACCTGACATAGGAGCCTTCAGAATGAAGACACAGATGGGAAATTGTCCATTTATATGCCTAGGTTCAACAAAGTATGGACAGCTATGTAGAAATAGGATTGGACAAAAAGCGTACTGATTTAGCGCTAATAGACTGAGTGGGGAAACCCAGCGAGGCCTGTCTGTCTAGATTCTTGGCCTCTCTCGGCAGCATTCCTTCCTTCTGGGTATGTACAGGACCGTCTTTGGAATGGGGGTCTTATGACCTACAATCTAAAACAAAGTAGCTCAGATAATTTATTCAGAGCCAGTTTTTACACAAAAGCAAGGCGGAAGTTAGAGTAGTTTTTTTTTTTTTTTTTTTTTTTGAGACAGAGTCTTGCTCTGTCGCCCAGGCTGGAGTGCAATGGTGCGATCTCGGCTCACTGCAACCTCCACCTCCCAAGTTCAAGTAATTCTCCTGCCTCAGCCTCCTGAGTAGCGGGGATTACAGGCACGCACCACCATGCCTGGCTAATTTTTGTATTTTCAGTAGAGACAGGGTTTCATCATGTTGGTCAGGCTGGTCTCGAACTCCTGACTTTGTGATCCACCTGCCTCTGCCTCCCAAAGTGCTGGGATTACAGGTGTGAGCCACCGCGCCCGGCCTAGAGTAGTATTTTACATTTTATGGCTGGCTTTGGGGAAAAGGGGTTCTCTCTATGACCCACCTTGAGGAAAAGGGATTCAGTGTCTGTGGCTAGGCTTGGGGAAGAATGAAGGGCCAGAGACAGGAAGGCAGAAGGTCAGAGAGAAACTTTTGCTTCTGAGGCTGCTTCAGAGCCTTAATTTGGGGTATCATTTTCTGAGCCCCAACAACATGTTAAAGTCTCTGTCCATTAGTTCAAACATCTGGGTTTGAGTAGCTGGGACGACAGGCCTGCACCACTACACCTGGCTAATTTTTGTACTTTAAGTAGAGGTGGGGTTTCACCATGTTGGCCAGGCTGGTCTTGAACTCTTGGCTTCAAGTGATCTGCCTGCTTTGGCCTCCCAACGTGCTGGGATTACAGGCGTGAGCCACCGTGCCCGGCCAAGTCATTGCTTATATAACAGAAGAGAATGAGGTAAATCATATTAATGCTCGGAAATGGGCAAGTGTGTTCTGTTAGACCGTCTGCATGGGGTTTGGTCAATCTGGTTAGGAATCAAGCGGGGCTTGGGTTTTTTTTTTGTTTTTTGTTTTTGTTTTTGAGATGGAGTTTTGCTTTTGTTGCCTACACTGGAGTGCAATAGTGCGATCTTGGCTCACCACAACCTCCAGCTCCTGGGTTCAAGCGATTCTCCAGCTTCAGCCTCCTGAGTAGCTGGGATTACAGGCATGCAACACCACACCCGACTAATTTTATATTTTTAGTAGACATGGGGTTTCTCCATGTTGGTCAGGCTGGTCTCAAACTCCTGACCTCAGGTGATCCACCTGCCTCAGCCTCCCAAAGTGCTGAGATTACAGGCTTGAGCCACCGCACCTGACCTGGGCTTGGGTTTTATTGCTATGGTTGCTTTCAATGTACCACAGATTTCACCTACTCTAGCATTATTCTATACTGTAGGTTGGGGCTGAAGAACTCAAGTGTTCATGCTTCATCCTCAGCTTACAGCTGTCCTGCCTACCTGCACAGTGGTGACTAACTTTCTAGGCCTTTGCCCATCCCCTAGAAATGGATGCTTGTTACTAGCTGCTTGGTAGGCTGGTAGCGGGGTAGAAGTAAAGGGGTTCTCTGTTGTTCTAATTCAATTCAGCCTCAGTCCTCAGCAGGCCCTGTGTGGGCCTTAGGAATAGATCTTTTCTCGGCATTCTTGCCCCCCAAAACTGGGCAAGTTCATTAAATGAGTGTAAAGAGGAAAGAAGTGTGAGAAATGAGATTTGGTATACTGCAAGGTTGGGAAGATGGGAAAGAACTAGCAAAGAATACGGAAGGAAACTTTCTAGCAGGGTAGACAGAAAATTGTTACTGAATTAAACTGGGGTCTGCTCACCCAGTGCCACAAAGCCATTGACATCAGGCTAGTAGCAAGAGAAAGTGAGGCATTTTATTGCAGGGCACCATGCAAGGAGAATTGCACAGATCATGCTTAAGACCCGAACTCCCAGATGGCTTAAAGCTACGGGTTTTTAAAGGCAGGGAAAGAGAGGTTACAGGCAAAGTCATAAATCAATACATAGAGGCTATACATTGGTTTGACCTAAAAAGGTGGGACATCTCAAAGCTGGGATGGGGGTGGACTCAAAGGTCATAGGTGGTTTCAAAGATTTTTTGATTTATGATTAAGGCGGTGAAGCTGTCTAAACTTGGGATCCACAGAAAAGAATGTTAGCTCTGGCCGGTGGACATGACTTCCTCCAGGCCCCTCAGGAAGCAACTTAGAACAATGAACAGTGGTCAGAGTTCAGTTCTCAGTTTCCCCTTATCTGAGGTTTAAAGCTGGTGAGAGTTCAGGTTTCTGAAAAGTTGGGGACATGTATGTTACCCTTAGTTTCTATAGGGAACAAAACATCTCACTCTGACTTCCTTGGCTATTGTGTTCAGCTACTTCTTGCTTATCAGGTTGCTCATTAACTTCTTTGGGCTAGCTAGGTGCCTAGAATTCCCTTGAAGGAACTCAAGATTTCCCTTTATTTCCATGCATGGAGGGGCCCACAAGCCTCCTAAAAGGGGGTCCCTGCTCTGCCTCAAAACCAGGAGTGTTGTGTTCTGGAAACCAAGCAAAGCCTTTCAAGAAGGGAGAGATAAACTGTCAGATCTACTGAAAAATTGCATAGTTAAGGACTGAGAACTGACCCTGTATTTAAGTGTGGTGATTGCTGGTGACCTTGACAAGAGCAGTTTCGACCAAGTGGTGGCGGTGAGAGTCTAACTGGAATGGGTTCAGGTGAGAATGGAGGAACTGGAAGGTTGAATTAGGGTTTTTTTTTTTTTTTTTCCCTTGAGACGGAGTCTCGCTCTGCTGCCCAGGCTGGAGTGCCGTGGCGTGATCTTGGCTCACTGCAAGCTCCGCCTCCCAGGTTCACGCCATTCTCCTGCCTCAGCCTCGAGAGTAGCTGGGACTACAGGCACCTGCCACCAGGCCCGGCTAATTTTTTTTATTATTTTTAGTAGAGACGGGATTTCACCTTGTTAGCCAGGATGGTCTCGATCTCCTGACCTCGTGATCTGCCCGCCTCAGCCTCCCAAAGTGCTGGGATTACAGGTGTGAGCCACCGCACCTGGCCATTTTTGTTTTTTAAAAAACTTTTACTTAAACAGAGACAAGGTCTTGTTAGGTTTTCCAGTCTTGTCTCAAACTCCTGGCCTCAAATCATCCTCTCACCTCGGCCTCCTAAAGCGCTGGGATTACAGGTGTGAGCGATCATGCCCAGTCAGAGTTAGAGGAGTTTTGCTGTACAGGGAGTGGAGAAATGGAGTGGCAGCTGAAGAGGAGAGTGAGGCCAATTTCTTTTTTAAGATGAGAGAAATCACATGCTAATGGAAAAGGGAAGGAGGGAGCTGCCGATGCTATCTGTGAATAGGTAAGAGGATGAGCTTCAGTGTTAAGAGGTGGGGCTGGGTTCCAACAGGAAGAGTATGAATAATTCATCTAAGTAAGAGGAGGGAAGGAACAGTTATGAAGGTACAGATGAAGGTGATGAGTGGCCACTGGTGGAGTCAGACCACTGTGTATATTGTAAAGGATATCTTTAGAAGCAATGACCCAGGATAAAAACTGGTAGAGGTCTAACAACATTTATATAATGGTTCTGTGAATATGTATATAAGAAGCTCAAAGCAACATCTACTTATATATTATGGTGAACTAACCTGCTAAGAGATTTTAGATTACTTCATTTAAGGAATGGAAGGGAGCATGCCCCACCAACTCTCTTAGCCAACTCTCTTAACTTCACGCTTGTCTTTTGGCTCTGAGCCATGCTACTTAGTATCTACATGAGAGCAAACAAAAGACACGCTCAAGCTTTGTCTGCTTTATTTCACTACATTAAGTTAAGCAATAAGGCAAAACAGTAACCTGTCATTCATAAAGATCAAGGAGTACCTCTCTGTCCCAAAAGGGACCAAAAAGGGTGTTTCTTCACAAATATGCATGACACTTAGCTCATTATGCTGATAAGCACTTCAAACAAAAGAAAAGGTCAGTAGGTGAATCAAGTAACAAATCCAAATTAACTTAGCCTAAGTTTCCAAAGCTGTAGTTTCAAGTGCTAATGGGATCTAACTTTCCTGTGGTGGTGCATACTGACTAGCATTAAAATTTTTGCACCTCATCTAATATAAAAAAGGCAACAAATACAATTCCTAATTCACCAGCTGCAGGTATTGAATCATTTCTACGAACACACAGAATACTAGCTTACACTAAAACCTATCTTGAGGAAACATTAAACCAGTGGCTCTATTATTCTGCAAGTTAGTTTGGCTTCTGAAGAAAAAAGTTTATGATCAAAGTGTTTTGTGTTTCTGTGTATGGGAATGATGAGACCCATACTTCAACATTATTACTTTGGGGAATAAATACCAGCTACCTGCCATAAACGCATGACATGTGTGTAGTCTATGCAAACGTGTAAACATATGAAGCTATTCTCTACTCTATGCCCATTTCCTCCACTGGCAAATATGGAGCAGTGATTTCACAGTAGGCTCTAGCAGGTAGTGAAATAAAAATTTGAGACTCTGTGGGGTCACAAAAAAATGAAACTCTTTCTATAGTCTGCAAATCTGTAATTACCCATCCCCCTGCTCCAACTCCTAAGAGGCTAAATGTTATTACCATAATGTTAGAGATGAGTATTTTCCTTCTTACACTGCATCACATATATTACTCTGTAGGACTGTTTCATAAAATTGGCTTGACCTTTGTACAATTAGTACAATTTAGTGTCTTTTAGAGTACAATTTAGTGTCTTTTAAAAGCTTCCTAAATATTTAAAACATTTTCAAGGGAAGCTTACAAGGACTATGTCCCATCTGTATTCTACATTATAATGTTATCTTTAATTTTTTAAGACTTAAAACAAGACCAAGGTAAACAAAAAATCTGTATTTTCCTCAAGTCTCTTGGCCACTTACTAACAATACTTTTACAGAAAACACGGTGCAGCTGGTGGTCTACTTTATCAAGTTTCATTTTAGAAAACATCATAGAAATTAAGGTTAGCAACCCAACTCCAGGATACCAAGTGAAAACAGCAAGTCTGCTGTTAGGCCAGAACTGTGGGCTACTTGCTGAACTATTTTATGGTTTACAATCAAAATGGTCTTATTTGACTCACCACATGACAAAAGTCTTAAACTTAGTAAGGGGGAAAGTTCTTAATATCCAGTTTTGGATTCAAGAGATTATAATAGTTAATTTCCCCTTCAAATCAATGGAAAGAATGCTAGTTGAGAATATTCTAAAAATCTAGCCTTTAAAATGTTTTCTGCATTCCAGAAATGAACCTGTCCACTCAGGTTTTCTTTGGGTTCTTTTCCAGGTCCCAAACAGAACAACTTAACTGAGTTAAAGAGGCAGAACAGGGAAGGGGTAGGAAGTAAGACAAATAAAGATTGCCCCCCTGTGGCAGCATTAATCCCTGGGTATTGTGGCAATATTGAAAACGAATGGAATCTGCTACCCCCTTGACATGACATGTAATTGTTTGCTTCTCAAATTCTTCTTAAAAGATCCATATTTTACTGGGAAAAAAATTAAGAACAACTAATACGTGTCCTGTATTCACTTAGAAAAAGAGGGCAAATGAGAGTGCCTTAACAACTTCACAGGTTTTTCCAATCATCATGATACTAAAGATAAAGTGACAATTCAGTTTTTCAGTTATATGGAAATCTATGGCAAAATGGCAGCCATTATGGCAATGAAGGGATATGTTTTAGACTGTTAGATGATATTTAACGGAATGCAGAAAGCAGTTGGTACATTGTGACCAATGCTGGATCATTAACAGCAGGTCTACCTTTGGGTTATCATTTAAGTTTCATCTGTGACATTGTGATCCTTAGTGAGATCAGATCAAGAGACAGTACAGAGTTTCTCAGGTGGTAAATACAATGCCATTCCAAGGAACACCCATCCCCTTTCCTAGGATGGAATTATGCTGCTGTTACTCAACGTGCAGGGTTCAGTGAGGGAGACACAGACTTACTGGTGTCAACAGGGGTGAGAGCAAGAGCAACAGCAGCTACCCTGTGTTCCCAATGCCTTGCCTATGCTCCCACTTTCTTAGCAATAGAATTCCGTAGTGCATGGGTACATCGTTATAAACAAGGCCTAATGAAGCAGCAGCTTCCACATTTTAACGCAGGTTTACGGTGATACTGTCCTTTGGGATCTGCCCTCCAGTGGAACCTTTTAAGGAAGAAGTGGGCCCAAGCTAAGTTCCACATGCTGGGTGAGCCAGATGACTTCTGTTCCCTGGTCACTTTCTTCAATGGGGCGAATGGGGGCTGCCAGGTTTTTAAAATCATGCTTCATCTTGAAGCACACGGTCACTTCACCCTCCTCACGCTGTGGTGTAACTTTGATGAAAATACCCACTTTGTTGGCCTTTCTGAAGGCTATAATGCTATGGAAAGAAAAAAAAGCAAGTATTAGGTAGATAAAAAAATCAGCCAAACCACTAAGACTTACAGTAAAAGTCTTTCACCTTATTCTTTCCTTCAGCACACACAGAAAACCTATAAACACTTTGTTCTTAACCTACCAAGTATTTTTTTGTTTTGTTTTGAGACACAGTCTCGCTCTGTCGCCCAGGCTGGAGTGCAATGGCTCCACCTTGGGTCACTGCAACCTCTGTTTCACGGGCTCAAGTAACTCTCCCATCTCAGCCTCCCGAGTAGCTGGGACTACAGGCATGCACCACCACACCTGGCTAGCTTTATATATTAATACGTATATTTTTTGGTGGAGATGGGGTTTCGCCACGTTGCCCAGGCTGGTCTCGAACACCAGGGCTCAGGTGATCTGCTTGCCTTGGCCTCCAAAAGTGCTGGGATTACGGGCATAAGCCAACACGTTGGCCATATATTTTTCTATGAGCTTATACTTTTCTGCTTTTCTAACCAACACAGATGGTACACACTATTCCATAACTTGCTTTTTTTTAACTCTGTTTATCACAAACACCTTTTGACGCTGGTATATACAGATCATCTACAATCTATGTAATGGTTGCACAGTATTCAATTATGTGTTTACCATAATTGGCATATACTGAGGTTGCTGACAACTTTTCTCTATTATAAACAATGGTGCTGCAAACATCCCTTTACATTTACCTCTGTGCAAATGCAATATTTCTATAGAACATAGACTCATACCGTGGAAAGTTATTTATTTATTTATTTTTTTGAGATGGAGTCTCGCTCTGTCACCCAGGCTGGAGTGCAGTGGCGCAATCTTGGCTCACCGCAACCTCCGCCTCCTGGGTTCCAGCGATTCTCCTGCCTCGGCCTCCTGAGTAGCTGGGATTACAGGTGCACACCATCACGCCCAGCTAATTTTTATAATTTTAGTAGAGATGGGGTTTCACCACATTGGTCAGACTGGTCTCGAACTCCTGATCTCAGGTGATCCACCCGCCTCAGCCTCCCAAAGTGCTGGGATCACAAGCATAAGCCAATGCACCCGGCCTTATTTTTATTTTTTAGAGACAAGGTTTTGCTCTGTTACCCAGGCTGGAGAGCAGTGGCACGATCATAGTTCATGGTAGCCTTGACCTCCTAAGCTCAAATGATCCTTCTGCCTTGGCCTCCCAAAGTGCTGGGATTATAGGCATGAGCCACCATGCCTGGCCATACTGTGGGAAGTTTTAATAACTCAGTGCTTTAAGGGAAATTTTGGAACACCATAAATCAAGAATGTTTTTGTAAATAACTTATGTAATTAGGAATTTTAGCACAAAAATGTCTCTTCATTGAGGTTTGCATTTCAATTTCCCCTCATTTGTGCATACAGTTTGTGCTTTAATAACTTAGTTTCTGAAAGTAAAAGGGCAATGAAATAAACAGAATTTGTCTACTACCCAAATGACATTCAGTTACTCTAAGAAAGGTTACTGGGATTACATATTTACATATTTATACAGTGTTAGTTTCCAGAAATCTGAAAGTTCTATTAAATCTAATAATGTAAAATATAATTAATTCAGTTTTTAATTACTCTATCATGTAATCAGGCTGAAATCTGATATCTCAGACAATCATTCCAGAAGTATATCTTGGCTTAACAAATTTCTGTACCTAATTAATTTGAGGACCCACATAAAGCAAGGATTTGAGAGAACACATTTTGTACTGTACAACTCAGCACATTTTGTATTACAGTAACTAACCAGACCTTTGATTTGTATGAGTCATGTAAAAAATAATTCAAACAGTTTAAAATGGTAAAAAGAAAAACATCAGTCTTTCTTTTTATCCTTAATTTCCCAGGCAACCACTGATACCTGGGAAGCTTTTCCAAAACAAATTTGGATTTCTGGTCCCTAGCTAGACCTGCTAAAAAAAATCCTCTGGGGTTAGGGTCTGGAATGCTATCGAACAACAAAACAAAACAACACTTGACCTGGTGCTTTCTGAAGTTAACCCACGTTTGGTATCACTAAACTAATCTCACCTTTGCCTTCACTTTATTTTTCTTTTCTTTTCTTTTTTTTTTTTTTTTGAGACGGAGTCTGGCTCTGTTGCCCAGGCTGGAGTGTAGTGGCGTGATCTGAGTTCACTGCAACCCCCGCCCCTAGGGTTCAAGTGATTCTCCCATCTCAGCCTCCCAAGAAGCTGGGATTACAGGCACGTGCCACCACGCCTGGCTAATTTTTGTATTTTTAGTAGAGACAGGATTTCGCCATGTTGGCCAGGCTGGTCTCAAACTCCTGACCTCAAGTGATCTGCCTGCCTCAGCCTCCCAAAGTGCTGGGATTACAGGCATCAGCCACCACACCTGGCTTCACTTTATTTTTCTAACCCACCTTGTTATCTCTTCTCTCTAATATCTTGTTGAGAAAGCTTTTGATCATTCTGTCAAAAAACCGTAAATGGGCCAGGCATGGTGGCTCACGCCTGTAATCCCAGCACTTTGGGAGACCAAGTCGGGTGGATCACTTTAGGTCAGGAGTTCAAGACCAGCCTGGGCAACATGGCAAAACCCCATCTCTACTAAAAATACAAAAATTGGCCAGGCGTGGTGGCGCTTGCCTGTAATACAAGCTCCTCAGGAGGCTGAGGCAGGAGAACTGCTTGAACTCGGGAGGTGGAGGTTGCAGTGAGCAGGAGATCACGCCATTGCACTCCAGCCTGGGCGACAGAGACTCCTTCTCTAAAAACAAAACAAAGACTGTGAATGTTCCCTGTGCCAGTTTACTAAGCTATTATTTTTCAGCTCCAAGCGCACCTCTCTCAATTTTGCTTTGTGACACAGGATTCTGCTTGGACTGTATCTGCTGGATCGGATGGCTCTTTGTCAGGTTCTGTCAGCAGCGGGCTCTAAAGGGAGACTAGAAGTCTGGAGGAGGAAGGGTCTTGCTCTTCCTTTAGAGATTCCTGTTTGCTTGTGGTCCCTGTTCCCTGTGGCCATCACTCCAAAAATGTCTTTTTTTTTTTGAGACAGGGTATCACTCTGTTGCCCAGGCTGGAGTACAGTCACAATCACAGCTGACTGCAGCCTCAGCCTACCGGGCTCAACTGATTCTCCCACCCTGGTATCCTGAGTAGCTGGGACTACAAGCATGCGCTGCTACACCTGGCTATTTTTAAAATTTTTTTGTAGAGACGGAGTCTTAACTCTATTCCTAGGCTGGTTTCAAACTCCTGTGAAGCAATCCTCCTGCCTCAGCCTCCCAAAGTGTTGAGAATACAGGGGTAAGCCACCATGCCCGGCCCAGCAATGCTTCTTTACCCAGGAGGAAGTGGCAGTAAGCAGTTGAAGTTTTCCAATTCTTGTATAATCATGCCACCCCTCCTTTGCCATCACGAGATGCCAGGACCACGCAAGCAGTGTTCCCCTTCAGCTCACTGGAGGCCTGAGTTTCAGCTACATGGAGCTCTTTGTTTAAGTTCTAAATTTTAATAATTCTAACTATTTCCCTTTGTTCCCTCCACCTAAGGGGTGGTAGCTGGCTCATCAAATAGCTATCTTTGAAATTTTATGCCCATGAAGTAGCATAAAATTGCTACTTCAGTGTTCTTTTTCACTTTTTAAGTTACACAAGTGAACAATTATTTATATTAAATCCTCTGTTCGAATCATTGAAAACATTCAGTCTACAGACTGAATTCTCTGATGGTCACAGTCCCCAGTTACTGGAAGGTTTGGTTCTTTTCAGTTATTAGATATGAGAGAGTAAAATCTATTAATTCCTCCAAGGGGGTGGGGGTGGGGAACAAACCCGATGATCAATCTCTAGGGACAGAGTATTGTATCCTGTCCACAACCATTAAAATCATATAATTAAAAATTTCTTTATTAACATGGGAAAATATATTCAAGTGAAAAAGGCTAAAAAACTGTATTTATAGAATGATCCCAATGAGGTGAGAAATATTTGGAAGGACAAATGCCAAAATGCTAATGGTGTTTATCTCTGGTGGTGGGATAATTTTATTTTCTTCTTCATGGTCTTACATATATTTCCCCAATTTTCTACAATAATTATTTTTAGAAACAGGAAGAAAAAAGTTATTTTAAAAAATCCAGACAAGAAAACTGGATATAAGTGGGCATTCTATTATCAGCCATTTGTTGTATGGGGATCACAAAAAGATCACTCACTCAGGATCGTCCTGAAAGTCTTGAGGTTCTGCCAACTCATCGTACTCTGCTGCTGCATCCTTGCCAGCTAAAACGAGCTCTTTGGGAGGCACCACCACCTGGAGAGCAACACAGAGAGGCCTGCCTGAGAAGGGACCAGTGTGACAGAATATAGCAAAGTACGACATTGATTTAGACAAATGGAAGCACACAGCAAGTTTCAGGAAACATATACTACTTCTATGGAGTTTATAAGAACAAAGGTTTTAAGAGAAAGCTAAGTTAGTACTTACTTCATGGGGTCTGCAATGAGGAACTGGGGAGAACATGGGGGCTTCAATTGTGTCTTTAATGTTTTATTTTATTATTTATTTTTTTGAGATGGAGTCTCACTCTGTCGCCCAGGCTAGAGTGCAAATGGCATGATCTCGGCTCACTGCAACCTCTGCCTCCTGGGTTCAAGCGATTCTCCTGACTCAGCCTCATGAGTAGCTAGGACTACAGGTGCCCACCACCATGCCTGGCTAATTTTTTGCAGTTTTAGTAGAGACGGGGTTTCACCATATTGGCCAAGCTGGTTTCGAACTCCTGCCCTCATGATCCACTTGCCTCGGCCTCCCAAACTGTTGGGATTACAGGCGTGAGCCACCGCGCCTAGCCCTAATGTTTAATTTCTTAAGGGGATGGGGAGAAATGGGTACTTGCCATATTATTCCTCATTTTTTTTTGATACATCTGAAACAGTCCATCATTAAGAACAACACAAAGGAGAAACACTGGTTCCAACACAATGTTTTTTGACATGGTACCAGCTGATTCCTGGTACCTGATACATAAACTTACATGAGATACTGGGTGATTATGGTCATGGAAAACAATTAGCATTCTTCAGACTTATGTTGTAATTAGGCCTCAACTTTGCTCTATCAGAGGTTAACAGTTAACAGTGTTGATCAAATTTCTAATTATAGATACAAATGTGGGAGGGGAGGTATAAAGAGAGCTTTATAAAGATATGCTGTGCTTATGCATCAGGTACTTATTTCTGTCTGTCTTAACTGGAGCTGCTTATTAGTGTTAATAAAAAAAGGAACGTCAGGGCACAGTGGCTCAGATCTGTAATCTCAGCACTTTGGGAGCCCGAGGAAGGTGGATCACAAGGTCAAGCGATTGAGACCATCCTGGCCAACAGGGTGAAACCCCGTCTCTACTAAAACTGCAAAAAATTAGCCGGGCGTGGTGGCAGGCGCCTGTAATCCCAGCTACTTGGGAGGCTGAGGTAGGGGAATCGCTTGAAACTGGGAGGCGGAGAGTGCAGTGAGCCGAGACTGCGCCACTGCACTCCAGCCTGGCGACCGAGTGAGATTCCGTCTCAAAAAAAAAAAAGCAACAAGGACCAAATAAGTGAAATAAGTGTTATCTCTCTTTGGAGGTGATGCTAGTAAGTGAAATCATTAAAAAGCAGAAGAAAAAAAAAAAGAGGACAGAAATTCTCTAATATTATTTGAATAAGAACTAAAGATATAGGCATCTTTTTAAACCATTTCTATTATAAATATCATGCTGAATTATGAATTAGTAATAGATGATCTATAGAGAAAGGCTCTTGTTCTAAAATTTCAAGTACTAGAAGTAGCAAAATATAAAGAGAGGCCATATTACATCCATTCAACTCACACTGAGTCAAAATCACCTACTTTAACATTTAGTTATTTTGTTTTTTGAGATGGAGTCTCACCTCAGCCGCCCAGGCTGGAGTGCAGTGGCGCGATCTCAGCTCACTGCAATCACTGTCTCCCGGGTTCAAGTGATTCTCCCATCTCAGCCTCCCCAGTAGCTGAGATTACAGGCATCTGCCATCATGCCCGGCTAATTTTTGTATTTTAGTAGAGACGGGTTTCACCATGTTGGCCAGGCTGGTCTTGAACTCCTGACCTTAGATGATCCACTCACCTTGGCCTCCCAAAGTGCTAGGATTACAGGCGTGAGCCACCAAGCCCAGACTAGTTAGTGCTATGTTATGTATACTCTTTGTAAGGTAGAGGAATCTAGAGGAGGCATACCAGCTTCTAAATGATTTTAAACGTATCATTTCTAAAAGGAAATGATATTTCACAAGTGTTGAAGAATGAATGTATGAGACTGAGAGACTGAAGGGGCATGTATGTTAGGGGAGTCAGGATAGGAAGGAGGCATGCTAAGTAAAATGAATAGCATACACAATTCTCCAGTGTCAAAGTTTATAACCCATTGGATCTGTCTGGATCACAACCACTAATATGTACGATTCAGGGAATGCTAAATTTGAGGATCTGAAGGAAGACCACACTGGAAGAACAGAGAAGTAATGTCATTAAGCAGCTCTTATGCTATGCCAAAAATCTGGACTTCATCTCAGTCAAGAGCAATGCTAAATGACCAGCATGCACAGAGTTAGATTTTAGAAGTATCACCCTGGTGGCAAGAGAGAAGAAATGGGTTGAAACAGAGGTGGTGGTATAAAAATAGCAAGGTCATTTAGGAAGTTATTGTCACTGTCCAGGTAAGAAACGATGAGACCTTCAAATAGGGCAGTGTGTTTCAGGATAAAGTAAAAAAATTTAGGAGGTGGAATCAAAAGAACTTGCTGACTAGATGTGGAAAGGAGAGTGTGTGGAGTCTTTTAAGCCAGGTCAAATGAGGACACTCCAGGGAAAGTGCGGGTCAGTCAGGCTGAGGCAAAATGCTCCTACCTTAGCAGTGCTGTTGATATCATCAGGGTCCCCCTCCTCACACTCGAAGAGAGTCACATGGGTGAGGTTCTCAACTGGATTTGTAAGAGTCAGGAGGACCTGGCTCTCCTGGTGAATAGGAAACACATCTCTCAGACATTCGCCACTTTCTTAGCTGCTATACCGAATATTTCGCAAAATTACCATCCCCGCCATTACTCCTGGGCAATGACGCCCTACTTATACCTCTACATCACTGTATTCTCTATGTGCTTACTGATCCCTGTTCTATTATCTATATGTTAGACCAAATACTCTCTGGAGTTGCTATTTCACTGAGGAAATGGGACAGATTCCACTGAAAGGGCCAGTTACTAGATCCAGAAATTCTGAGGAATGTTCATTATCTAAGTGAAGTTAAAACTCTTGTCTCACCCAGGCTGCCACTTAAGGACTGAAAAGGAGGCCCTCATAAATAAAATATGGGAGCCACAGGCCAGTCAGATGCATGAACAGAGCAAAAATGGCACACCAAGACTACAAAAACTTTTTAAAATTTTTATTATTTATTTATTTATTTTCGAGACAAGGTCTCACTCTGTTGCCCAGGCTGGAGTGCAGTGGCATGATCATGGCTCACTGCAGCCTCAACCTCCTGGGCTCAGGTGATCCTCCCATCTCAGCCTCCTGAGTAGCTGGGACCACAGGTGTGCGCCACCACACCTGGCAAATTTTTTGTATTTTTTGTAGAGATGGGGTTTCCCCATGTTGCCCAGGCTGGTCTTGACCTCCTGCACCCAAGCAATCTACTTATCTTGGCCTCCCAAAGTGCTGGGATTACAGGTATGAGCCACCGTGCCCGACCTTATAAAAACTTTTTAAGACTTCTTGAACTGTGATAATTTGTCCTTGTTTGGTACCCTCTCTAGATAAGCAAAACAAATCTTTCAAATGAAGGCCCATGTAATAAATATTTGTGTTTTCAGGAGCAGCATGAAAGAAGAGTTAAAGAGTTTGCTGCAGAATATTCTACAATTCACTGGGTGTGTGTGTGGAAGGAAGGGGAGTAGATGAGGACTCCAAGGAAGAGAAGGGCTGTGGTATATAAATCTAACTGAATCCTAGTACCTGAAACATAACAAACAGGAGATCGAAGAGAATCTCTAGGCTGGAGAAGAACAAAAGATGCCTGTGGGATCCAACATTCTCTCCTTTCTTTTCCCCACCTATAATTTCACCTTAACATAATGTGCACCCTGCTCCTTCTCCCTACTTTTCATCAGATGCTGTTGTCAAGAATCTCAGTGTCAACAAATTTAGTCTTTATTATCCCAAACTGTCTTCTTTTCTATCCCTTGCTCACTGGATCCTGTGCCAAATACACACACAGCCACCCACATACACATGTACACACATCATTGATCAATCCTTTTTCTTCCTGTTAATGAGCAAGGTACTAACCTTCATGTAGCGAAGGTTGGGAATTGACATGATTCTCACTTCTGGAATATAATTGCTGTGCATAAATAAAAAAATGCATTAATGTTCATTGGAGTCTCTTAAAATTATTATTATTTTTTAAAGCTAGTGCAGTACATAAAGGATTTCATGTTAATTAGAATGTATCAGAAAAAAAATAATTTTAATGAACCATATCATCACAGTAAGAACTTAAGAAAAGACATAAGACCAAACTGGTATGAGTTCTTTCTGAAATCTTACGTATATTTCTAGTTGAAACTGCCCAGGCCCCAGATTAGCATTTACATATCAAGATATTGCTTTGTAATGACTAAGGCAAGATATTTATCTCCTTGTGCCTTGGTTTTCCCAATTCTAAAATGAGGAAAATAATGGTATCTTTCACTTGAGGTTATTGT
Source organism: Homo sapiens (assembly GCF_000001405.40). Taxonomy (NCBI): domain Eukaryota; kingdom Metazoa; phylum Chordata; class Mammalia; order Primates; family Hominidae; genus Homo; species Homo sapiens. Next base: position 150,720,135 of record NC_000005.10, read on the forward strand.
GAAGAATACATGCAAGAATGCTTTGAAAAGTGCTTGGAACAAAGCTCACATAAATGTTCATTATTGTGCATACATTAACGTAATACGAAATCTATTGCAGAAACATTAAAAGTGGGGGAAAAAGTACATCTTAGAATCAGATATTTAAACTTTAAACGAGCTATTTTTCATGGTGACCAGCAGGATTACCTGAGTAACTTAACAGGAATTTAAGAAACTTTTGTCTTCCTGAATCTCAAAAAAAACACACACACACACAAAAGCAACAACAATAAAAATAAATTTAAAGACCCCACTTCTAAGAATTTGAATTCAGTAGGTCTGAGGTTTGATACCAGAGCTCTGTATTTTTTTTTTTTTTTTTGAGACAGGGTCTTGCTGTCACCCAGGCTGGAGTGTAACGGCACAATCATGACTCACTGAAGCCTCGACCCCCCAGGCTCAAGTGACATTCCCACCTCAGCCTCCCAAGTAGCTGGGAGTACAGGTGTGTGCCACCATGCTCAGCTAATTTTTGATTTTTTGTACAGATGAGGACTCACTGTGTTGCCCAGGCTGGGCTTGAACTCCTAAGGCTCAAGCGATCCTCCTGCCTTGGCCTCCCCAAATGTTGAGATTACAGGCATGAGCCAAACACCTGGCCTCAGAGCATCTGTATTAAGATAGCCAGGCAATTCTAAAATGATGTCAGAAAAAAATCACTTTTTCTCAAAGCAAGCTTAAGAAATTGATGCTAAGTACAGGCTGCCATTCAGGGTTTCTGTAATGAGTATAATTCTTAAGAAAGGAGTTCATCCCAGACTTCACAAGTGCCATTTCTGTAGGTCTCTAACCAATCATGTATTAAGAGTAGTTAGGAAAATGAACATATTTTATGGTGAGTTACAAGGCATTTGCAAACATAATTACTCATTTGATTCTTTTCAAGAATCCCAAGAGGAATACATTATTCCCATTTCAGAGACGAGGGAAGTATGTTTAGACAAAAATAGTAAGTGACAGACCCTCTTCCTGGCCCTCCTAGCTCCTCCTAACTCACTAGACATGCACTTCCCAACCTTTTTGTTTCCTAATACTTATTTTTAATTGCTGCATAATATTCTACAGTACAAGTTATCTCAATTTAACCAACTATTTCCTTGTTAATGGTTAATCAGTTTGACACTGATTAACTTTTGGTTAAACTGTTTGCAGCTTTTTGCCATTAATATATTCTAAAACACACCTTTGGAAATGCATCTTTATATATTGGTGATTTTGTTTCTACAGAATATATCCCTGAAACAGTACTGTTGGGTTAAAAGGTCTATGTAATTTGTTTTGATATTTCCAGACCACTCTCCAAAAAGACTAGCAATTCAAGATCCCACCAACAATGTGTGCAAGTATGTGTTTACCCACATTCTCATGAGCACTAGATGCTAATTACCTTTTAAAACTTTTCCTATCAAATCTTAGTTTCTTTCCATATACAGTGTATCTTCTGGTCATTTGAAATTCCTTTCCCATAAGCTACCTGTTCAAATCCCTTGTTCCACATTCCACTTTACTGCCTCCCTCTATTTTTATCTTTTCAATTTCTGGGAATTCTCTATGCCTGGGATATTAAACTTTTGTTTGTCATGACTGCCAAATATTCTTTCTTGCTTTACTATTTGTCTCAGGACTTTGTTGCTAATTTTGTCTTAAAAAAATTTTTTTTTCCTTAGAGAGAGAGTCCTGCTCCACTGTCTAGGATGGAGTGCTGTGGGACAATCATAGCTTACTGCAGCCTTGACTTCCTGGGCTCAAGGGGTCCTCTCACCTCAGACTCCCAAGTAGCTAGGACTACAGGTGCATGCCACTACACCTGGCTAATTTTAAAAATTTTTTGTAGAGATGGGGTCTTACTATGTTGTCCAGGCTGGTCTTCAACTCATGGGCTCAAGTGATCCTCCTGACTCAGGCTTCCGAAGTGCTGGGATCACAAGTGTGAGCCACTGCACCTGGCTTTAATTTCATCTTTTATAACCACTATTTCTTTTTGCTAAGGTCAAAGGTGTTTCTTTTCTTTTAATGGCTTCTGGGTTTCCTGTCTTGCTAAAGAAGGGCTCTCTTACTCCAAAGCTAGACAATACTTTCCTAATTTGTGAAAATATTTTTGTTTGCCAGGTAATTTAAAAAATTTATGTATTAGAAAAGTATGATGAGATATGAAAAGTTTACATTTAATTAGATGAACACTGGGTAAGTTTTAAGTGGCAGTATTTGTCTCTAATTAGGACCATTCAGATAGCCTGATAGGTAGTTTTTATACACAAAATTCTCTTCTACTCACAAGTCCCAGAGAGTTAACACTAACTTAATCACTTTCATTCCAGTCAACGAAGTGTTATAACACAGGTAAGTAAAATGAACACTGTTACAGGGATACTCTTCAATCAGCTATACTTCATTATTTTTAAATTTTTTTTGAAGGATTATTCCCAAACTCAGATACTTTATAATTTGTAATGATGACTAGTGACTTTCCACCAAATAATCAACATACCTTGTTGCTCCAGATCATACTGGGACACTGTGTCCCTGATCCCAATACCCCTGAATCTATTTATCTTAAACTTCATGGCATGTAACTAAATTAAAAACCTAAACAGGAACAGAATGTCAAGATTATTTTGATGTAATTTTTTTTTTTTTAGGCCAAGAGTAAACACACTTCATACTGGGGAAGAAGAATAAACCAAAATAACTCAAAACAGTAACTGAAAACACCAATCCCAAAATACTTACACAGCGACCAGCTGGATTTTGAATTTGATTGACGTTGGGTTAAATTCTGGCTTGCTCAAATTATGTTCACATTTCTAAAAAGAAAACAAATATAACACGTATCAGAAGACAACAACACACTTTGTTGATCCATAGAGCTGCTAAATTCAGAAGGACAGCATTTACGAGAATTTTGTTTTGTTTTGTTCTGCTATAAGACCATATGTTTTTGAATAATGTATAGCAGCCAAAGTTTATAAAAGATGTTCGCACTTCCTGATATGTGCAACCCCACTATCCAATATTATTATACCTCTGTGGTACTTAAAAACTACTAAAATAACACATACTGAGTACATACTGTATTTGCTAAACAACGTGCTCACTGGTTTAACTGGATTTAAATATCACATCAACTTTATGAGCTAGGTATAGGTATTACATTAAGGTTGCCATATTATAGATGATCAAAATGGTATACAGGAAGGGTAAGTAACCTGTCCAACTTCACAGAGCCAATAAAAATGGACACTGGGATTTAAATCTAGGTAGTAAAATTCCAGATCCTATGCTTTAAAGTACAGTAACAATGATTACTTTTGAGATAGGGTATCACTCTGTTACCCAGGCTGGAGTGCAGTGGCACAATCAAAGCTCACTACAGCCTCCAACTCCTGGGCTCAAGTAATCTTCCTGCCTTGGCCTCCCAAAGTGCTGGGATTACAGGCATGAGCCACTGCACTAGGACAGTAATAATTATTTACTACTTTCTTAAATACATACTACATATACCTGGTTAAAAATTTTTTTAACAGAACAAAAAAGGTGTCCAGTGTAAAGATTACCCATTATCTGTCTGTCCCCTTGTTTTCTCCAGATAGCCTATGCACATAAAAGTACAAGCATACATCACCTTGCTTTTTTCACAATAACACAAAAGGGAACATTTTATATTTATTCTCTTGCTTTTTTCATTTATTCTATCTTGGAATTAATTCCATTTCAGTACATATAGAGAGGCCTCTGTGTCCCACTGTAACAATTTCTATAACTTACATAAGATAGAAATTGATGGACATTCAGGATGTTTCCATTATTTTGCTACTGTAAGTAATGCAGCGATGAGTGTTCTTGTACATGAATCATTTCCTAAGTGTCTAAGTATCTGTAAGACAATTTCCTAAGAGTAGATCAAAGGGTGTATGCATTTGCTATTTTAATGGATACTGAAATATAACTGACTAATCTGACGATTATGAAATGATATTCCACTGCAGTTAATTTTTTTTAATTTTTCATTTTCTCATTGCAGTTTTAATGTACATTTCCCTGATTAGTGTATAAATTTGAATATCTTTCATATTTATTGGCTATTGGGATTTCCTCTGCCATAACTTGAATGTTAGGATCTACTGGTTATTTTTATTTCCTTGCCGATTTGCTGATATTAACAATAGATTTTAATCTCTTGTTAATAATATACCTTGCAAACTACTTTTCTCAGTCTGTGGCTTATCTTTTCATTTCTTTATGGGTTTTCTTTGGCATGAGGGTACAAGTTTTACTTTTAATGAAGTAAAATATGTAACTTTACATTACAGTTTGTGCTTATTTGTATTACTTATGAAACATTTCCCTACCCAGAAGTCATGAAGGTATTCTCCTCTATTTCCTTCTAGAAGTTTGGCTCTTCAGATTTCCAATGTTCCTGAAATTAACTTCTATGTAGGGTGAGGTAGCAACCCAATTTTATTTTCTTCCATATAATCACTTGACCTAGCAAAATATAATTGCCTATTCTTTCCCCAATGATCTACAATGCCATATTTAGTATATAACAAATTTTCTCATATGCATGGGTCTACGTCTGCATACATATAGACACACTTTTTTTTGTTTATATGTACATTTGTACTTTCCCTCCTTTTTTATACAGAAAAAGTGCATACCTACCATGCACTTTGCTTTTTGCATTTAAAAATGTATCCCAGGCTGGGCGCAGTGGCTCACGCCTGTAATCCCAGCACTTTGGGAGGCTGAGGCGGGCGGACCACGAGGTCAGGAGATTGAGACCATCCTGGCTAACACGGTGAAACCCCATCTCTACTAAAAGTACAAAAAAATTAGCCAGGCGTAGTGGCGGGCGCCTGTAGTCCCAGCTACACGGGAGGCTGAGGCAGGAGAATGGCGTGAACCTGGGAGGTGGAGCTTGCAGTGAGCCGAGATCACGCCGCTGCACTCCAGCATGAGCAACAGAGTGAGACTCCGTCTCAAAAAAAAAAAAAAAAAAAAAAAGTATCCCATATTAACACATTCTTTTATAAATTTATAGTACTCATTCTGCGGATATACTATAATCTCTGCATATTTTGGTTTGTATTTGTGGAGGTGCAAGGTAGATTCCTAAAAGTGAAGTTGATGAGACAAAAGGTAACTTTACTTTTGGTAGGTATTACTATATTAATGGTGCATTATATAACCATATTTATATAAATTTATATCAATTTAATTTATATATAACTATTTCCATTACTAATCTTTTTTAAGAAATCAACTTCTGATTCTGTTGCCCTTTTGTATTTTGGTTTCTTAATTTACTGTATTTTATATTAATTTATTGTATTTTATTTTGGTTTCTTAATTTATTAACACCTGTTCTCTTTGGACTTTGCTGTTTTTTTTCTAACTTCTTGAAATGGATGCTGACATCGCTAATCTTTTAATATTTCTTCTTTTCTAATATATACTGTATAGCTAAGCACAGCCTTAGTTGTATCCTGCAAGTTTTGCTATAAAGAAATTACTGATTCCTAACTTAACTACGTTGTGATCAAATAATATACTTTAATAATTTCATCTTCCAGCTGACAGCCTCAGCAAGAGAAAGCATAGGGACTCCAATGGCAGCAGCAGCATGTGCAAAGAAACAATCATGAAAGTTGGTAGACAATATTGGATGGGTGCCCCAGGTCTCTCCAAGCTGGCTATTTATTATATTTTGTTATTTAAAACAAACCTGTATTTATTTATTTTTTGAGACAAGTTTTGCTCTTGTTGCCCAGGCCGGAGTACAATGGCGCAATCTTGGCTCACTGCAACCTCCGCCTCCTGGGTACAACCAATTCTCCTGCCTCAGCCTCCCAACAAACCTATATTTTAAGCAGAATTAAAAAAAAAATAAGCTGGTATAAGGCTATATGACTTTTGATCAAACCAACGAGATGCAGGGCTTCTAAATATAAGGGATCATCTGAAATGAATGTTGTTTGAAATAACTGTCTAATTTTGAGAGTTCCAGTATTTATGTGAAAATTTAACAATTTTTAAAGAAGTCCTTGGAAATTGGTATTGACAGTAAATCTCCTTAAAATAGAATTTTAAAGCTTTCAACACACTGGAACTCTCCCCAGCTTTGGACCAACCCCACAACTGAGCGGAGCCACCTCCTCGAGACATGCATTGCTCTGCTGCTGGATACTCTAACAGCTTGAACAGGGGAGCTCACTTAAGAAGAGATATTGTGTAGTTTAAAACATATTAGTTTGTATAAAATAACTTCTCATAAATTTCTCATAAATTAAAGCTGCAGTACAATTCACTTAGTGGTTAGGCCAATCCTCCCCGCCATTATCCTTGCTTTGTTATAAATCACCATTAAAAACCATTATAATGTTTTTAATAGTATCAGCTGGCACTTAAATATTTTTGGAGTGAAAATTATTCCTAAAGTTATACATGACTCCCACAAAAATACAGTTTTATCATATTAAAGAGACCTGTACTGATTTGCCAAAATTCCGCAACTTAGCAAAGGTATTACCTTCCTTGGATTTGTACTTTGTGATACAGTGTGCTGTACCGTGGGCTGGTTATGTTAACTGAAAAAATAGTCATTACCCAAGTTTTGCAGCACTCTAAACTTAAGCAGAAGAACAGCTGTTCACATCTTACAAATGCCATGTGTCAAAATCATGGTTTTGTAATTGCTAAGGTACGGTATGTCAGGTTATTTGAAAACAATTACTTTTTGAAGTAATTGTGACCACAAAGCATCATTTTTACATGAAAAGTTGTCTGTCATTTGAAATTATGCAAATGATGTCTTGACCTGAAGCACAAACCCCAGGTACTTAATGTTTTTAATAATATGGTGCCACTGCAGGGGTTAGGGGCGGTGGGGAAGAACAAGGATAATGGCGGGGAGGATTGGCCTAACTAACCACTAAGTGAATTGTACTGCAGCTTTGATTTATGAGACATCCTTATCTGGGATATTTGAGGGCAGCTGCAAACTAAAAACAATCCAGTAAATGTACTTTGTTTATATTTTGTATCAGGCAATTATCAACTGCTAAATAATAGCTTTCATATTTGCAACTGTTGCATACAGAGTACTTTTGCTAAAAGGTGATTAGCTCTTGCCTTTAATTTTACAGTGCTTAATGTGATAAACTTCCAGACATGTTTCCTATAAAAGAGACCATTTAATATATGTATATAAACCACAGTAATAGTATAACATACTATTTTAAAATTATTTTTTTCTACTTAAAATATTTAATTTTAGGCTTCTTAGGACATTTCTAAAGCAGATTAAACCCAATAAGCAGGCCGGGCGCGGTGGCTCACGCCTGTAATCCCAGCATTTTGGGAGGCCGAGGCGGGCGGATCACGAGGTCAGAAGATCGAGACCATCCCGGCTAAAACGGTGAAACCCCGTCTCTACTAAAAATACAAAAAATTAGCCGGGCGTGGTGGCGGGCGCCTGTAGTCCCAGCTACTCGGGAGGCTGAGGCAGGAGAATGGCGTGAACCCGGGAGGCGGAGCTTGCAGTGAGCCGAGATCGCGCCACTGCACTCCAGCCTGGGCGACAGAGCGAGACTCCGTCTCAAAAAAAAAAAAAAAAAAAAAACAAAAAACCCAATAAGCTTCCTGATGATTTTTTTGTAATTGGAGATAGTTTTCTCAACTGAAATAACATTTCAGCTAAATAAAGCATTTTAAAATATTGATATTTGATAAAAAATTGCCTTGTATAATTTCTGTAAATTATATTTGTTCTGAAAAAGGTATAATGCCCTAATGTTAAAAGATTTTAAACAAATCCTTATCCTTTGATTTTTAAAACTCTGATCTAATGATAAAATTCTATAAATTTTCATTTTCCCGTGCAGTTAGGTAGCAAAATAGCTGGTAATTCATAACTTTTACCTATTAAAATATAAACACACAACAAGCAAATGTATTTAAGAGTACTAAATGGAAATAAAGTGTTCAAAAGAGAAAGTCTTGTGTTATTGAGCATCTTAGCCTATTTATTATTATAAAGTATAAATGTGACTTAAATCTTTTCTTGTTAATAAAAACTTTCTTTTAACTGAAAAAGAATTTCATCTTCTGAAAAATGTTCAGACTTACTTTATAATAATCCAGTATATAATCAACCTTTATAAGTGTTCTGTGTGTACTTGAAAAGAATGCATATATTCTGCAGACATTGGGTACAGTAGTCTATATATGCCCATTTGGTCAAGTTTGCTAGATAAATTGTCCAAATGTTCTATATTCTTACTGATTTTCATCTATTTGTTCTCTCGGTTACTGAGAGAAGTATGTCAAAATTTCCCAAAATGATTTGTCCATTTATGTAATTTTCTCAAATGTCGCTTTATATATTTTGAGTCTATTATTCAGTGCACATGACTTTAGACGGTTATATCTTCTTTGTAAATTGAATCTTTTTTTTAAACAAATTATCCCTCTTTTAAAAAAATTAGTGTTTGTCCAATATTTTTCCCACTTCTCTCTACTTTCAACTTTTCTGAGTTCTCATGTTTGTGCTTCTTGTAATAAGCATATAGATGGATCACTGCAATTTGCTTTATTATTTAGACTGACAATGTTTGTCTTTTAATGGAAGCATTTAGTTCATTGGTATTTAATGTAAATACTGATACATCTGGATTTTAATCTACTATCTTACCACACACAATCTTTTTTTTTTTTTTAACAGACAGGGTCTTGCTTCGTCACCCAGGCTGGAGTGCAGTGGTGTGATTACTGCTCACAGCAGCCTCAACTTCCTGGGCTCAAGCAATTCTCCTGCCTCAGCCTCCTGACTTGCTGGGACTACAAGTGTGTGAACCACCACACTGGCTTTTTTTTTTTTTTTTTTTTTTTTTTTTTTTTGGTAGAGACAGGGTCTCACTATGTTGCCTAGGCTGATCTCAAACTCCTGGGCTCAAGTGATCTTCCTGCCTTGGCCTCTCAAAGTGTTGTGATTACAGGCATGAGCCCAGGCTTTCTATTTGAACTACCAATTCAATGTTCCTTTGCCCCTTCTTTTTCTTTCTTTTTATAAAGGTTTTTCATTATAGAAATTTTCTAACGTGTACAAAAATATAGAATGGTATTACAAATCTCTAGGTACCCATCACCCAACTTCAACGATTATCAACTTCGGAATATATATGCAGGACTTGAATCTATGCTCTCAGGTTAAACAAACAAAAAGAATCAGCATCTTGTTATCAAAAATTAGCAACAATGGCCAATCTTGTTTCATTTATACTCTTACCCATTCCTCATCCCTCATTATTTTGCAACAAATATCAGAGACCAAGTCATTTCCTCCATAAATATTTCTGTATGTATCTCCAAAAGATAAAGACATTAAAAAACAAACAAACAAAGTACTATCATTATTCCTAAAAAAGAAAAAATACTTTTTTTTTTTTTTTAAGAGACAGGGTCTTTCTGTGTTGCCTAGGCTGGAGTGCAGTGGCTATTCACAGGCACCATCATCACACACTACAGTCTCAAACTCCTCAGGCTCAAGGGATTCTCCTGCCTCAGCTTCCAGAGTAGCTGGGACTACAAGTGCATGTCACTGTGCCCTGCCCAATAGTTTTTTAATAGCATCGAAAATGCTACCAGTGTTTAAATTTTCTCAAAGATTTCACAAATTTTTCTTTCCTTCTTTCCTCTTTCCCTTCTTCCCTCCTCCCCTGGGCCCTTTCTTTCTGTTTTGTTTGAATCCGAATCTACGTAAACTCTATACATTGTGTTTGGTAAACTTTTAAGTCTCTTCTAATCTAGAGAATGATTAAGTAACATTAGCCACTAGCGACATGTGGTTATTTAAATGAAATTAAAGACTGACTCAGTACCTCAGCTGCACTATCACATTTCATGTGCTCAAGAGCCACATGTGCCTAGTGGCTATCATGCGGGACTGTACAGACACAGAATACTTCCATCACCATAGAAAGTTCTGTTGGATAGTACTCCTCTAAAAGGTTTCTTTTCCATTTTGTTTTTACAATTTATTTATTGAAGAAACTCTGTCATTTGTTCTGTAGATTACCAGAGCCTGGATTTTGCTGATTTTTCTTGCTTTCTTTTAAATTGATTATTTTTTATTGGTCCTCCCTGAGCCTGAACACTAGCCTAAAAGTTCACACTCTTTCACTATTCTTTTAGGGGTTAACCCTATGTACTTAACCTTCAGATACTTCATTTTCTACATTTGTAAAACAGGTTTAACAGTAGTACCTACCTCACAGAGTTGTAAGAGCTGTTTATATTGAAAGCATTTAAAATAGTGCCTGGCAATTAGTATGTTCTCTACAAGTATTTTCTGTATTTAATACATTCCAAAGGTTTTGACATTAGTCAGACACCAGCCACATTTATTTTTGCTTTCCTCTTGTACAAATGGTCAGTCTACAGAATGGAATACTTACACGGCAGCGCAGGGACCGTTTGATCAGAAGATGTTTGTGGCGAGGATAGAGCTGTGAAGCACAGACTGGCTGGAAGTCAGGCTGTAACAGACGCTGCTGAAGGGTTGTTACTAGAAAGAAAGGCAGAAAACAGGCTTAGTTTACAGTGACTTTCAAAATCAGACTTTTATGTACCAGTAATTACACGAAGCATTACTGCCTTTACGAACAGTGTTGTTCATAAAAATGAAAATATAGAAAGTTGACATTTTAGATTTCAAACAATTACCTCTATTACAGCTGTTTTATTTTCTACATATTGTTTTTACTACTAACAGCTATTCCATTAAAAATCTCAAATCACTAGGTACATAAATAACAAAAACAGAATTAGATGTAGACTAGAAACAAAGTAGAAAAACACAGAAAATTACCCTCTGTTAAATTTACTGGTCTTGTATAATAGTCTTCAGGTAGAGGTTCCACTTCATCCACAGCCTGAGCTGGCTCAATCTTTATCTCTTTCTGATCCTCTCCTTCTTTAAGGCTGAAAAATTAAAAAAACAAAACAAAACAAAACAAAAGAGTAATTTCTCACGGATCCACCTGATTATCCTCAGTCTATGATATCAATAATTGAAGTATTCCTCTGTCATAGAATATCTGTATAGCGTAGGTCTTTTCTAAGTATGAGAATCTTCTTTTCCATTGACAACTGTGTGTGTGTGTGTGTTTTAATCTCATTTATTTGATATTCATTTTGATACCTGCTGTTCTCCTCAAAGTCATTTCATGTCTAAACTTACGAAAGTCCGGCAAGGGTACTGATGGATGCACCAGCTCGTGGTCGCTGAAGCCTGGTTCCAAGACCATATTTGTCCTAAACAAAGTTCAGAAATTCCTATTAGAAAGTCCACTTTTACACACCCTATTTATCAAAAGAAAGAATTTTGGGTAGGATAGCATGAGAAGCTCAGGGAAATAAGCAAAAAAAAAGCTAATCTAAAGGCTTCTTTTAAAGAAAGCAATTTGTAGCCCCACATCATTATTCTATTCTTAAAATAATAACAGCACTAAACATGGAGATTGAAACTATATTAATACAGTAAAAATGAACCAAATGTGAGCTTCTGCTAGTAATCTAAAAGTATCTAAGCTACGGCTCAGGCAAGAACTATGTGGAGTGTCTAAGATACACAACAGACGTCTTCCTGGAACACCAGTGGTCATCTGCTAACTTCTTCAGGGTCAGCAAGAATCATAAAGGAGAACTTACCACTACATGAATAGTATGTTGCTGTAGAGCCCCAAAATAGCAGCAGGTTGCAACAGAGACAAAAAATGCAGCATAAGATAGAAGCAAACGCATATAGCAGGCAGGTTATATGGGAAAATTGGAAGAATAATTCATTTAATTCAAATTCTACCTCTAAATATAACACACATTGGTGCATATGCTGACTATACCACTGGACTATTCAGAAAAATTCACTTCTTTTTGCAAATGTAGGTGCTTTGCAAGTGTTAATGTTTTTAAATTCTAATCTAGATTTTTTTTGAGACAGAGTCTCACTCCGTCACCCAGGCTGGAGTGCAGTGGCGCTATCTTGGCTCACTGCAACCTCCGCCTCCTGGGTTCAAGCGATTCTCATGCCTCAGCCTCCCAAGTAGCTGAGATTATAGGCGTGCGCCACCATGCCCAGCTAATTTTTTGTATTTTTAGTAGAGACAGGGTTTCGCCATGTTGGCCAGACTGGTCTTGAAATCCTGACCTCAAGTGATCCCCCCGCCTCAGCCTCCCAAAGTGCTGGGATTACAGGCGTGAGCCACTGCACCCAGCTTAATCTAGGTATTTTTATATGGACTTTACCAACCCTTAGGGTTTCAATGACTTAACTAATTTTCATGTGGATGCAGTATGACAAGTTGCTTAACTAGGTCCCATTTCCTCAAGCGTAAAATGGGGATATGATACTCCACAGGATTTTTGTGAGGATTAAGTAAAGTAATACATGTAAAGTGTTTATTTAGCACAGAGCTTGACACATCATTGCCATTCAATAAATGTTATTTATTGAATGTCAATTTGCTGGGCCCCAAGCAAGCACACAGAAAACAAACTGTACTATGAGAGCAAATAAAACTCGGGGTAAAATAACAAAAATTCCAAATCCTAATTTCTTTCTTCTTACTAGCAGTACGTAAACTGGTAGAGAATGACTCTCATAAATAATTCTTATCAAAAATTCTACTTGCATATATTACTATTTAACCACACAAGTGCACTATGTAAAAAGTCAGTGTTTTTCATCTTGGAGAAACAGGGGAGGATGTTAAAAAAATTATAACTAAAGCTGAGAAACCACTACTGCCAGGATGTCAAAGGTGGGCTACAGGGGTAATATGACTGAAATCTACCATTTGCCCACCTCCTTCTTCTCAGACTTTCTGTAATACACAAAAGCTGTACGTGGAACTCTGCAGTGCCTACAAAATTAACAGCCTTTCTGGGGAAATAATCAGAAGATAAAGGGGAGTGATGGAGAAAGAAACACAAATGTCCTCAAAACACAAATAACTCAAACAGAACTAATGATATAGCAAAAGCCTAACTATTGGACTTAAACGTCTATAATTTGAAGAATCCCTCTCTCTGATATCCACCATTCAGGAATCTAGGACAATGGCCATTTTCTGAAATGATCACTGTTCTTAGGCCTTAGAGGTCTTGCAAATCATTTTAGTACCAAATTCTCACCGAAAAAGCCAGAGGCATATAGTTTCTACGTCGTGCCAGTTTCTTGCGATCTCGCTCAACCTTCTCTTTCTGAGCAAGCTGCTGGTAATATTCAATCAATTTGTTCATCTGTAAGAAAATCACAGACTCAGTACACAAAAAAGCTAACAGAAAACATATCAAATTAATCAACTACACTGACTAGACACATAATGAATAGAGAAGACAAATTATTAAGATGGGCAAGTTTGCCCTTTTTCTTCTAAGATAATTTTTCTTCGTTATGTGATCTGTTTTCCGAAGTGAAATGGAAAACTGAAGTTCAAGGATGGGAAGAAATGGGCAATGAAGAGGCTTGGAAATTTTTTGCTCTCTAACTTCATTACTTATTTCCCCTCACAACTGCTCTTATTTTTTTTCTGCATGGCCACAGGACCACTTATTTCTAAGAACATAGCATTTTATACTGTATTTTATTCCCCAACTCCATCACACTTTTTAATTTTTAAAATACATTTTAATTATAAAAGCAATACATATTAATCATAAAAAGTTCAAACCAGGATGGGCACAGTGGCTCACGCCTACAATTCCAGCACTTTGGGAGGCTGAAGTGGGTAGATCACTTGGGGCCAGGAGTTCAAAACCAGCCTGGACAACAGAGTGAGACCTTGTCTCTATAAAAAAATGCAAAAATTAGCTGGGCATGGTGGTGTATGCCTATAGTCCCAGCTACTCAAGAGGATGAGGTGGCAAAAAAAAAATGGCAGATAGGAGGCAGGACTAACTTGCAGCTTCCCCTCAGACAGACAGAACAACATGTGGAGACTCACACTGTGAATTTTTATTCCAAGAACTACTGCAGGAACATACTAGGAAAACTGAAAGAATTCACAGACCCTTTAAAAGAAGTGGCTTGCTGCTGCAAAATCCATGAGACAGCAGAAAATCTGTGAGTGCCCATGTGTAAGAGGGGGAAAATCCACCTTCAAACACACATCCTCACTGGAGAACCTAAAAATCCAGATCATGGGAGAAAAATTTAACCTTACCTAGTGCTGAAACAAAATTTAGAGAGCCGAGTGAAATATAAAAATAGAAGAAGCAACAGCGGGAAGAGCCCTGTAGGCACTCCCGGTTCCCAGTGAAGCCCAGGGAAGTCATTTCTGACTTTAATCTCACAGGGGTCCTTGGGGAGTGCTGCCAGTGGAACTGAGGAAGGACCACTTGGAGACAGAAACTTCCAGGTGAACTTTGTAATAACTTTGACGGAGAGCAAATTTTCCTGGGCACAATCAAGATGGGGAAGGCGTAAAGGGGAAGTACAGATATGAGCACATAAGCCACAGCAGTCGGGAAGGGGCGGAGTCCAAAAGGCTAGCTTGCTTTTTCAGCAAGTAGGCTTGTAGCCTGGGCCAAAATCTTGGCCCTGCAAACCCCATGCTGTTGGTGGGGCATGGTGGGAGTGAGACTGGCCTTGCTGGCTGCATGGGAGCTGGGTGAAGCCTGTCACTGCTGGCTTTCCCCTACTTCCCTGGCCACCAGTATGACACAGCAGAGGCAGCCATAATCCCCCTGGGAACATAACTCCATTGGCCTGAGAACCACACAACTGTCCTTCACAGCAGCTGCAGCAAACCCTGCCCAAGGAGATTCTGAGCTCAGATATGCCCCCACCTGATGGTCTTTCTCTACCTGCCCTGGTAGCCCAAGACAAAAGACTGTAAACTCTTGGGAGCTTTATGGCCCCACTGATCACCTGGGAAACCCAAATACTTATCCAGGCAACCTTAGGGCAAGCTTGTATCCCCACCACACTACTGCAGCTGATGCTTTCTTGAAAGCGCCACCTCCTGGCTGGAGGCCAACCAACTCATTATAGCAACTCATAAAAGAACAACCCTGCCCTCAAAAGGAGAAAACAACAGCTAATTCCACCACCTGTGACATCCTGGCTAACCAGAGGTCCTGAGTCTGTCCACGTGACAATTCACTGCTAGCACAACCAGCATTAAAGAAAACTAGCATACGAAACCAAACTACAACCAAGGACCCTCACAGAGTCCACTTCACTCTCCTGCTATCTCCACCAGAGCAGGTGCTGGTATCCACAACTGAGAGACCTGAAGACGGACTGCATCACTGGACTCTTTGCAGACACTCCCCAGTACCAGCTCGGAGACTGATAGCTCTGGCCGGGTGGCTAGACCCAGAGCAGCAATAACAATAATTGCAGTCCAGCTCTCAGGAAGCCACAGGGGGAGAGCACCACATCAAGGAACAATGTCGTAGGACAAAATAATCTGAACAGTAGCCCTCAAGCCCCAGATCTTTCCTCTGACATAGTCTACCCAAATGAGAAGGAACCAGAAAAACAATTCTGGTAATATGACAAAGCAAGGTTCTTTAACACCCCAAAAAGATTACACTAGTTCACCAGCAATGGATCCAAACCAAGAAGAAAACTCTGAATTGTCAGAAAAAAAATTTAGAAGGCCAACTATTAAGCTACTCAAAAAGCTACTCAAAGGGGCACCAGAGAAAGGTGAAAACCAACTTAAGGGAATTAAAAAAAAAAAAAAAAATACAGGTTATGGACAAAAAAAATCTCCAGAGAAAGACAGCATAAATAATAAACAATCACAATTTTTGAAATGACAGACACACTTAGACAAGGCTTTTGAATTAACCCAATCTGACAAATACAAAGAAAAAAGAATAATAACAATAATAATAAAAAATAAAGCCTCTAAGAAGTCTGGGATTATATTAAGCTACCAAAACTAAGAATTGGTGTTCCCAAGGAAGAAGAGAAATCTAAAGGTTTGGAAAACTTACTTGAGGAAAGAATAGAAGAAAACTTCCCTGGCCTTGCTAGAGATCTAGACATCCAAATACAAGAAGCTCAAAGAACACCTGAGAAATTCATCGCAAAAAGATCACCACCTAGGCACACAGTCATCAGGTTATCTAAAGTCAAGACAAAGGAAAGAATCTTAAGAGTTATGAGGCAAAAACATCAGATAACCTATAAAGGAAAACCTATCAGGTTAACAGCAGATTTCTTGGCGAAACCCTACAAGCTAGAAGGGACTGGGGTCCTATCTTTAGCCTCCTTAAACAAAACAATTATCAACCAAGAATTCTGTATCCAGCGAAACTAAGCTTTGTAAATGAATGAAGGATAAAGTCTTTTTCAGACACACAAATGCTGAGAGAATTTGTCAGTACCAAGCCAGCACTACAAGAGGTGCTCAAAGGAGTTCTAAATCCTGAAACAAAACCTTGAAACACACCAAAATATAACCTCCTTAAAGCATAAGTCTCACAGGGCCTATAAAACAATAACACAATGAAAAAAAAAATCTAAGTATTCAGGCAACAACTAGCACAATGAATAGAATAGTACCTCACATCTCAATACTAATGTTAAATGTAAATGGCCTAAATGCTCCACTTAAAAAATACAGAATTACAGAATGGATAACAATTTACCAACCAAGTATCTGCCGTCTTCAAGAGACTCACCTAACACCTAAGGACTCACATAAACTTATGGTAAAGGGGTAAAAAAAGATATTCCATGCAAATGGACACCAAAAGTGAGCAGGAGTAGCTATTCTTATATCAGACAAAACAGACTTTAAAGCAACAACAGTTAAAAAAGACAAAGTGGGACATTATATAATGATAAAAGGACTAGTCCAACAGGAAATATCACAATCCTAAATATATATGCACCTAACACTGGAGCTCCAAAATTTATAAAACAATTACTACTACGCCTAAGAAATGAGATACAAAGCAACACAAAAATAGTGGGGGACTTCAACGCTCCACCAACAGCACTAGACAGGTCATCAAGATAGATGGTCAACAAAGAAACAATGGACTTACACTATACCCTAGAACAAATGGACTTAACAGATATTTACAGATCATTCTACCCAACAACTGCAGAAGATACATTCTATTCATTAGCACATAGAATATTCTCTAAGATAGAACATACGAGAGGCCACAAAACACGTCTCAATACATTTAAGAAAACTGAAATTATATGAAGTACTCGCTCAGACAGCAGTGGAATAAAATGGAAAATCACCTCCAAAAGGAACTCTTGAAACGATGCAAATTGCATGGAAATTAAATAATCTCCTTCTGAATGATCACTGGGTCAACAATGAAATCAGGATGGAAATTTAAAAACTCTCTGATCTGCATGATAATAGTGAGACACAACCTATCAAAAGCTCTGGGATACAGCAAAAGCAGTGCTAAGAAGAAAGTTCATAGCATTAAATACCTACATCAAAAAGTCTAAAAGAGTACAGGAGACAATCTAGGGTCATACCTTAAAGAACCAGAGAAACAAGAACAAACCAAACCCAAACCTAGCAGAAGAAAAGAAATAACAAAGATGAGAGCAGAACTAAATGAAACTGAAACAAAAGAGACAATAAAAAAGATAAATGAAACGAAAAGCTGGCTCTTTGAAAAGATAAACCAAATTGATAGAATGTGAGATTAACCAAGAAAAGATGAGAGAAGATCCAAATAAGCTCAATTAGAAATGAAATGGGAGATATTACAACTGATACCACAGAAACAGAAAAGATCATTCAGGGCTACCATGAACACCTTTATGCACACAAACTGGAAAACCTAGAGGAGATGGATAAATTCCTGGAAATATACAACCCTCCTAGATTAAACCAGGAAGAAATAGGAACTCTGAACAGACCAGTAACAAGCAGTGAGATTGAAATGGTAATTAAAAAAAACTGTCCACAAAAAAAAAGCCTAGGACCAGATGGATTCACAGCTGATTTCTATCAGACATTCAAAGAATAATTTTTATGAATCCTACTGAAACTATTCCAAAAGATAAAGAGGGAATCCTCCCTAAATCATTCTATGAATCCAGCATCGCCCTTATACCGAAACCAGGAAGGGACACAACAAAACAAGAAAACTACAGACAGATATCCCTGATGAACATGGATGCAAAAATCCTTAACGAAATACTAGTTAACTGGATCCAACAGCATATCATAAAGATAATACACCATGATCAAGTGGGTTTAATACCAGGGATGCAGGGATGGTTTGAAATACCCAAGTCAATAAATGTAATACACCACATAAACAGAATTAAAAACAAAAATCACAGGATCATCTCAATAGACAGAGAAATAGCATTTGACAAAATCCAGCATCCTTTATGAGCAAAACCCTCAGCAAAATCAGCATAGAAGGAACATGCCTTAAGTAAAAGCCATCTACGACAAACACAGAGCCAACATTATACTGAACAGGGAAAAGTTGAAAACATTCCAGCTGAGAACTGGAACAAGACAAGGATGCCCACTTTTACCACTTCTATTCAACACAGTACTGGAAGTCTTAGCCAGAGCAATCAGACAAGGAAAGAAATAAAGGGCATCCAAATCAGTAAAGAGGAAGTCAAACTGTTGCTGTTTGCCAATGATATGATCGTATGCCTAGAAAACCCTAGAGACTTATCCAAAAAGCTCCTAGATCTGATCAATGAATTCAATAAAAGGTTGGGCACAGTGGCTCATGCCTGTAACCCGAACACTTTGGGAGGCCGAGGTGGACAGATCACTTGAGGTCAGGAGCTCGAGACCAGCCTGGCCAACATGGTAAAACCCCATCTGCACTAAAAATATGCGTGGTAGCGGGCGCCTGTAATCCCAGCTACTCAGGAGGCTGAGGTAAGAGAATCGCTGGAACTTGAGAGGCAGAAGTTGCAGTGAGCTGAGTTTGCACCATTGCACTCCAGTCTGGCTGACAGAGAGAGATTTCATCTCAAAAAAAAAAAAAAAAGTTTTGAATTCAGTAAAGTTTCAGGATATGAAATCAATGTACAGAAATCAGTAGCACTGCTATACACCAACAGTGACCAAGCTGAGAATAAAATCAAGAACTCAACCCTGTTTACAACAGCCGCAAAAACCCCACCCAAAAAACAAAAACAAAATGCTTAGGAATATACCTAGCCAAGGAGGTGAAAGACCTCTACAAGAAAAACTACAAAACACTGTTGAAAGAAATCACAGATAACACAAACAAATGGAAACATATCCCATGCTCATGGCTGGGTAGAATAAATACTGTGAAAATGACCATACTGCCAAAGCAATCTGCAAATTCAATGCAATTCCCACCAAAATACCATCATCATTCTTCACAGAACTAGTAAAAACAATCCTAAAATTCACATGGAACCAAAAAAGAGCCTACATAGCCAAAGCAAGACTAAGCAAAAAGAACAACTCTGGAGGCATCACATTACTTGACTTCAAACTATATATAAGACTATAGTCACCAACGCAGCATAATACTGGTATAAAAATAGGCACACAGATCAATGAAACAGAATAGAGAACCCAGAA
Organism: Homo sapiens; assembly: GCF_000001405.40. Classification (NCBI taxonomy): domain Eukaryota; kingdom Metazoa; phylum Chordata; class Mammalia; order Primates; family Hominidae; genus Homo; species Homo sapiens. Next base: position 150,739,766 of record NC_000005.10, read on the forward strand.
ATAAACCAAATACTTATAGCCAACTGATCTTTGACAAAGCAAACAAAAACATAAACTGGGGAAAGGACATCCTATTCAATAAATGGTGCTGGGATAATTGGCAACCTAAATGTAGAAGAATGAAACTGGATCCTCATCTCTCACCTTATACAAAAATCAACTCAAGATGTATCAAAGACTTAAATCTAAGACCTGAAACCATAAAAATTCTAGAAGATAACATGAGAAAAATCCTTCTAGACATTGGCTTAGGCAAAGACTTCATTACCAAGAACCCAAAAGCAAATGCAACAAAAACAAAAATAAATGGAACTTAAACTAAAAAGCTTCTGCACAGCAAATGAAATAATCAGCAGACTAAAAAGACAGCCCATAGAGTGGGAGAAAATCTTTGCAAACTATGCATCCAACAAAGGACTAATATCTCAAGTCTACAAGACACTCAAACAAATCAGCAAGAAAAAAAACAAATAATCCCATTAAAAAGTAGGCAGAGGACATGAATAGACATTTCTCAAAGATACACAAATGGCCAACAAACATATTTAAAAAAATGGTCAACATCACTAATGATCAAGGAAATGAAGATCTAAACCACTCCTGCAAGAATGGCCTTAATTAAAAAAAAAAAAGTAATAGATGCTGGCATGGATCTGGTGAAAAGGGGACACTTTTACACTGTTGGTGAGAATGTAAACTAGTACACCACTATGGAAAACAGTATGGAGATTCCTTAAAGAACTAAAAGTAGATCTACCGTTTGATCCAATAATCCTACTACTGGGTATCTACTCAAGAGGAAAAGAAGTCATTACATGAAAAAGACACTTGCCTGCACGTTTATAGCAGCACAATTCACAGCCGCAAAAATAGGAAACCGGTCCAAATGCCCATCAATCAATGAGTGGATAAAGAATATGTGGTATGTATACACCATGGAATACTACTCAGCCATAAAAACTAGTGAAATAATAGCATTTGCAGCAACCTGGATAGTGTTGGAGACCATTATTCTAAGTGAAGTAACTCAGGAATGGAAAACCAAACATCATACATTCTCACTCATAAGAGGGAGCTAAGCTATGAGGATGCAAAGGCATAAGAATGATACAATGGACTTTGCGGACTCAGGGGGAAAGCTGGGAAGGGGGTGAGGATAAAATACTACACATTAGGTACAGTGTACACTGCTCAGGTGATAGGTACACCAAAATCTCAGAAATCACCACTGAATAATTTATCCATGTAAGCAAACACCAGGTGTTCCCCAAAAACCTATTTTTTTTTCTTTTAAATGGCTGAGGTGGGAGGATTGCTTAAGCCTGGGAGGTTGAGGCTGCAGTGAGCTGTGATCATGCAACTGCATGCCAGCCTGGGTGACAGAGTGAGATCCTGTCTCAAAAAAAAAAAAAAAAAAAAAGTTCAAACACTATACACATGAAAAGAATAAAAAGCAAAACTTCTCTTTTATCCCTTCTGCCCAAGTTGACTTTTCTACTCATTAGAGGTATCAACTATTACTGGTTTAGATATCTTTCTTACTCAGAGAAACAAATATATTATATTTTGCATATATTTTAAAATACTTGTGTGTAGATGTATAGCTTTGATGTGTATAAAAATACATACTTATTCCTGGCCTCAAGCAATCCTCCTGCCTTAGCTTCCTGAGTAATGGGGATTACAGGCATGAGCCACTGCGTTTGTCTCTACCGCATTCTTTTTCTTTTTTTGAGACACAGCCTTGCTCTATTGCCTAGGATGGAGCGTGGTGGTATGATCATAGCTCAATGCAGACTCGAAAACCTAGGCTAAAGCAATCCTCCCACCTCAGCCTCCTGAGTTGCTGGGACTATAGGCATGCGCCACCACACTCAGCTGAATTTTTAATTTTTTTGTAGAGATGGGGTTTCACTGTATTGCCCAGGCTGGTCTTGAACTTCTGGGCTCAAGCAATCCTCCTGCCTCAGCCTCCCAAAGTATTGGGATTACAGGCATGAGCCACCACACCTGGCTGTTTATGATATTTCTAAGAGTATCTGAGAACAAATGGAACCTTAACTCACTGGTGGGTTGTGTGAAGAAAAAACAAAAACTTGGTTCCTTTTCCTGATGCACAATTCAAATACAGAACTAAAGCTACACCTAGGATTCTCCATTATCTTAAGTCATTTGGAAAAAAGTGACAGTGTATTTCAATGTCTTACAATGAGAAGCACTGTCTATGTGCAAAGACGTATTATGGACTTATAAACACAGCTCATATCTACCCATAAAATGCAAGATCTTCAGTCTTTTACTCAATTTTTTCCGATTTCATCCTCTCTCTCTTATGACCCTTTACTTACCCGTTGTGTGTGAGGATTTTCAGGTTCCTGCCAACCGCCACTAGCTACAAAATAAAAGAATATTAAACAAGACTTTCATAATGTGATAATTTTATTTTCATAAAACAAGTCTTCTGTAGGCCATAAAAAGAAACTTAAAACATAAGTTATATAGACCATTCTGGTCTATATAACTATAGACTATAATGTTCAGAACAAAATTTTAAGAAAACATCTAATGATGGTGATAACAATCACCAATGCACAGCCACTGTGCCAGGCACTTGAAATGTATTACATTTCCTTTTATTCTCATAACAACCCTCTGAGGTAAGGACTCTTATTAGTCTCATTTTATATATGAGGAAACTGAGGCTCAGAGATGTTAAATAACTTGCTCAAAGTCACACGGAGAGTAAGTGGTAAAGCCAGGATTCAAACTCAGTCTGACTCCGGAGACTTTGCTCTTATCTGTAACACTGTGCATTTTCTAAGTTCTATGACCTTGGCTTAGAGAAGAATTTCTTACGTAAGAAGCACACAGCATAAATCACAAAGGAAAAGATTATTCAAGAAAACTGAAAGTACTGAAAGTAAAACTATAATGAACACTTTTAACAAATGGTGCTGCAACAATGGAATATCCACACATCAAAAACAAAACAAAAACCTCAAAAACCAAAAACCAAAAGGACCCTTACTTCAACAACATTTACAAAATTTACCTTGAAAAGAGCAAGACTTAGGAGGAGCCAAGATGGCCGAATAGGAACAGCTCCGGTCTACAGCTCCCAGCGTGACCGACGCAGAAGACGGGTGATTTCTGCATTTCCATCTGAGGTACTGGGTTCATCTCACTAGGGAGTGCCAGACAGTGGGTGCAGGACAGTGGGTGCAGCGCACCGTGCGCCAGCCGAAGCAGGGCAAGGCATTGCCTCACTTGGGAAGCGCAAGGGATCAGGGAGTTCCCTTTCCTGGTCAAGGAAAGGGGTGACAGACGGCACCTGGAAAATCGGGCCACTCCCACCCGAATACTGCGCTTTTCCAACAGGCTTAGGAAACGGCGCACCAGGAGATTATATCCTGCACCTGGCTCGGAGGGTCCTACGCCCACGGAGTCTCACTGATTGCTAGCACAGCAGTCTGAGATAAAACTGCAAGGTGGCAGTGAGGCTGGGGGAGGGGCGCCTGCCATTGCCCAGGCTTGCTTAGGTAAAAAAAAGCAGCCACAGCTCAAGGAGGCCTGCCTGCCTCTGTAGGCTCCACCTCTCGGGGCAGGGCACAGACAAACAAAAAGACAGCAGTAACCTCTGCAGACTTAAATGTCCCTGTCTGACAGCTTTGAGCAGAGCAGTGGTTCTCCCAGCACGCAGCTGGAGATCTGAGAACGGGCAGACTGCCTCCTCAAGTGGGTCCCTGACCTCTGACCCCCGAGCAGCCTAACTGGGAGGCACCCTCCAGTAGGGGCAGACTGACACCTCACACGGCCGGGTACTCCTCTGAGACAAAACTTCCAGAGGAACGATCAGACAGCAGCATTCGCGATTCACGAAAATCTGTGGTTCTGCAGACACCACTGCTGATACCCAGGCAAACGGGGACTGAAGTGGACCTCTAGCAAACTCCAACAGACCTGCAGCTGAGGGTCCTGTCTGTTAGAAGGAAAACTAACAAACAGAAAGGACATCCACATCTGTACATCACCATCATCAAAGACCAAAAGTAGATAAAATCACAAAGATGGGGAAAAAACAGAGCAGAAAAACTGGAAACTCTAAAAAGCAGAGCACCTCTCCTCCTCCAAAGGAAAGCAGCTCCTCACCAGCAACGGAACAAAGCTGGATGGAGAATGACTTTGACGAGTTGAGAGAAGAAGGCTTCAGACAATCAAACTACTCCGAGCTACAGGAGGAAATTCGAACCAAAGGCAAAGAAGTTGAAAACTTCGAAAAAAATTTAGACGAATGTATAACTAGAATAACCAATACAGAGAAGTGCTTAAAGGAGCTGATGGAGCTGAAAGCCAAGGCTCGAGAACTACATGAAGAATGCAGAAGCCTCAGGAGTCGATGCGATCAACTGGAAGAAAGGGTATCAGTGACGGAAGATGAAATGAATGAAATGAAGCGAGAAGGGAAGTTTAGAGAAAAAAGAATAAAAAGAAACGAACAAAGCCTCCAAGAAATATGGGACTATGTGAAAAGACCAAATCTACGTCTGATTGGTGTACCTGAAAGTGATGGGGAGAATGGAACCAAGTTGGAAAACACTCTGCAGGATATTATCCAGGAGAACTTCCCCAATCTAGCAAGGCAGGCCAACATTCAGATTCAGGAAATACAGAGAATGCCACAAAGATACTCCTCAAGAAGAGCAACTCCAAGACACATAATTGTCAGATTCACCAAAGTTGAAATGAAAGAAAAAACTTAAAGGGCAGCCAGAGAGAAAGGTCAGGTTACCCACAAAGGGAAGCCCATCAGACTAACAGCGGATCTCTCAGCAGAAACTCTACAAGCCAGAAGAGAGTGGGGGCCAATATTCAACATTCTTAAAGACAAGAATTTTCAACCCAGAATTTCATATCCAGCCAAACTAAGCTTCATAAGTGAAGGAGAAATAAAATACTTTACAGACAAGCAAATGATGAGAGATTTTGTCGCCACCAGGCCTGCCCTAAAAGAGCTCCTGAAAGAAGCACTAAACATGGAAAGGCACAACCGGTACCAGCCGCTGCAAAATCATGCCAAAATGTAAAGACCATCGAGACTAGGAAGAAACTGCATCAACTAACGAGCAAAATAACCAGCTAACATCATCATGACAGGATCAAATTCACACACAACAATATTAACTTTAAATGTTAATGGACTAAATGCTCCAATTAAAAGACACAGACTGGCAAATTGGATAAAGAGTCAAGACCCATCAGTGTGCTGTATTCAGGAAACCCATCTCACATGCAGAGACACACACAGGCTCAAAATAAAAGGATGGAGGAAGATCTACCAAGCAAATGGAAAACAAAAAAAGGCAGGGGTTGCAATCCTAGTCTCTGATAAAACAGACTTTAAACCAACAAGGATCAAAAGAGACAAAGAAGGCCATTACATAATGGTAAAGGGATCAATTCAACAAGAAGCGCTAACTATCCTAAATATATATGCACCCAATACAGGAGCACCCAGATTCATAAAGCAAGTCCTGAGTGACCTACAAAGAGACTTAGACTCCCACACAATAATAATGGGAGACTTTAACACCCCACTGTCAACATTAGACAGATCAACGAGACAGAAAGTTAACAAGGATACCCAGGAATTGAACTCAGCTCTGCACCAACCAGACCTTATAGACATCTACAGAACTCTCCACCCCAAATCAACAGAATATACATTTTTTTCAGCACCACACCACACCCATTCCAAAACTGACCACATAGTTGGAAGTAAAGCTCTCCTCAGCAAATGTAAAATAACAGAAATTATAACAAAGCGTCTCTCAGACCACAGTGCAATCAAACTAGAACTCAGGATTAAGAAACTCACTCAAAACCGTTCAACTACATGGAAACTGAACAACCTGCTCCTGAATGACTGCTGGGTATATAACAAAATGAAGGCAGAAATAAAGATGTTCTTTGAAACCAACGAGAACAAAGACACAACATACCAGAATCTCTGGGACACATTCAAAGCAGTGTGTAGAGGGAAATTTATAGCACTAAATGCCCACAAGAGAAACCAGGAAAGATCCAAAATTGACACCCTAACATCACAATTAAAAGAACTAGAAAAGCAAGAGCAAACACATTCAAAAGCTAGCAAAAGGCAAGAAATAACTAAAATCAGAGCAGAACTGAAGGAAATAGAGACACAAAAAACCCTTCAAAAAATTAATGAATCCAGGAGCTGGTTTTTTGAAAGGATCAACAAAATTGATAGACCGCTAGCAAGACTAATAAAGAAAAAAAGAGAGAAGAATCAAATAGATGCAATAAAAAATGATAAAGGGGATATCACCACCGATCCCACAGAAATACAAACTACCATCAGAGAATACTACAAACACCTCTATGCAAATAAACTAGAAAATCTAGAAGAAATGGATAAATTCCTCGACATATATACTCTCCCAAGACTAAACCAGCAAGAAGTTGAATCTCTGAATAGACCAATAACAGGCTCTGAAATTGAGGCAATAATAGCTTACCAATCAAAAAAAGTCCAGGACCAGATGGAATCATAGCCAAATTCTACCAGACGTACAAGGAGGAACTGGTACCATTCCTTCTGAAACTATTCCAATCAATAGAAAAAGAGGGAATCCTCCCTAACTCATTTTATGAGGCCAGCATCATCCTGATACCAAAGCTGGGCAGAGACACAACCAAAAAAGAGAATTTTAGACCAATATCCTTGATGAACATTGATGCAAAAATCCTCAATAAAATACTGGCAAACCGAATGCAGCAGCACATCAAAAAGCTTATCCAACATGATCAAGTGGGCTTCATCCCTGGGATGCAAGGCTGGTTCAACATACGCAAATCAATAAATGTAACCCAGCATATAAACAGAGCCAAAGACAAAAACCACATGATTATCTCAATAGATGCAGAAAAGGCCTTTGACAAAATTCAACAGCCCTTCATGCTAAAAACTCTCAATAAATTCGGTATTGATGGGACGTATCTCAAAATAATAACAGCTATCTATCACAAACCCACAGCCAATATCATACTGAATGGGCAAAAACTGGAAGCAATCCCTTTGAAAACTGGCACAAGACAGGGATGCCCTCTCTCACCACTCCTATTCAACATAGTGTTGGGAGTTCTGGCCAGGGCAATCAGGCAGGAGAAGGAAATAAAGGGTATTCAATTAGGAAAAGAGGAAGTCAAATTGTCCCTGTTTGCAGATGACATGATTGTATATCTAGAAAACCCCATCGTCTCAGCCCAAAATCTCCTTAAGCTGATAAGCAACTTCAGCAAAGTCTCGGGATACAAAATCAATGTACAAAAATCACAAGCATTCTTATACACCAATAACAGACAAACAGAGAGCCAAATCATGAGTGAACTCCCATTCACAATTGCTTCAAAGAGAATAAAATACTTAGGAATCCAACTTACAAGGGACGTGAAGGACCTCTTCGAGGAGAACTACAAACCACTGCTCAAGGAAATAAAAGAGGATACAAACAAATGGAAGAACATTCCATGCTCATGGGTAGGAAGAATCAATATCAAGAAAATGGCCATACTGCCCAAGGTAATTGATAGATTCAATGCCATCCCCATCAAGCTACCAATGACTTTCTTCACAGAATTGGAAAAAACTACTTTAAAGTTCATATGGAACTAAAAAAGAGCCCGCATTGCCAAGTCAATCCTAAGCCAAAAGAACAAAGCTGGAGGCATCACACTAACTGACTTCAAACTATACTACAAGGCTACAGTAACCAAAACAGCATGGTACTGGTACCAAAACAGAGATGTAGATCAATGGAACAGAACAGAGCCCTCAGAAATAATGCCGCATATCTACAACTATCTGATCTTTGACGAACCTGAGAAAAACAAGCAATGGGGAAAGGATTCCCTATTTAATAAATGGTGCTGGGAAAACTGGCTAGCCATATGTAGAAAGCTGAAACTGGATCCCTTCCTTACACCTTATACAAAAATTAATTCAAGATGGATTAAAGACTTAAATGTTAGACCTAAAACCATAAAAACCCTAGAAGAAAACCTAGGCATTACCATTCAGGACATAGGCATGGGCAAGGACTTCATGTCTAAAACACCAAAAGCAATGGCAACAAAAGCCAAAATTGACAAATGGGATCTAATTAAACTAAAGAGCTTCTGCACAGCAAAAGAAACTACCATCAGAGTGAACAGGCAACCTACAAAATGGGAGAAAATTTTCGCAACCTACTCATCTGACAAAGGGCTAAGATCCAGAATCTACAATGAACTCAAACAAATTTACAAGAAAAAAACAACCTCATCAAAAAGTGGGCAAAGGATATCAACAGACACTTCTCAAAAGAAGACATTTATGCAGCCAAAAGACACATGAAAAAATGCTCATCATCACTGGCCATCAGAGAAATGCAAATCAAAACCACAATGAGATACCATCTCACACCAGTTAGAATGGCAATCATTAAAAAGTCAGGAAACAACAGGTGCTGGAGAGGATGTGGAGAAATAGGAACACTTTTACACTGTTGGTGGGACTGTAAACTAGTTCAACCGTTGTGGAAGTCAGTGTGGCGATTCCTCAGGGATCTAGAACTAGAAATACTATTTGACCCAGCCATCCCATTACTGGGTATATACCCAAAGAACTATAAATCATGCTGCTATAAAGACACATGCACACATATGTTTATTGCGGCACTATTCACAATAGCAAAGACTTGGAACCAACCCAAATGTCCAACAATGATAGACTGGATTAAGAAAATGTGGCACATATACACCATGGAATACTATGCAGCCACAAAAAATGATGAGTTCATGTCCTTTGTAGGGACATGGATGATATTGGAAATCATCATTCTCAGTAAACTATCACAAGGACAAAAAACCAAACACCGCATGTTCTCACTCATAGATGGGAATTGAACAATGAGAACACATGGACACAGGAAGGGGAACATCACACTCTGGGGACTGTTGTGGGGTGGGGGGAGGGGGGAGGGATAGCATTAGGAGATATACCTAATGCTAAATGACGAGTTAATGGGTGCAGCACACCAGCATGGCACATGTATACATATGTAACTAACCTGCACATTGTGCACATGTACCCTAAAACTTAAAGTATAATAATAAGAAAAAAAAAGAAAAAAAGAAAAGAGCAAGACTTAAATGTAAGTGTTAAAACTACAGCACTTCTAGAAGAAAACATGGGTAGATCTTAGTGACACTGGGTTAGGCTAAAGTTTTTTTAATAGGACACAAAAAACACAAACTATAAAATAAAAAAATTGGTAAATTAGACTTCACTGAAATTAGAAACTTGAGTTCTTCAACACACACTGCTGAGAAAAGGAAAAGGCAAGGCACAGACTGGGAGTAAATATTTGCAAAACATATATTCAACAATGGACTTGTATCCAGAATATAGAACTCTTATAACTCAGTTTAAAAAACCAAATCAAAACAAACCAACAACAACAAAACCCAGTTAAAAAGTAGGGAAAAGATTTGTACAGACAGTTCACCAAAGATATATGGCTGGTAAACAAACACAATGAGAAAATGCAAATTAAAACCACAGTGAAGTACTGCTGTACATGTGCTAGAATGGCTAAAATGGGTAAGACTGACAATATGGCAAGGGTTGTCAAGGGATTGGAACTCTCCTAATTTGCTGGGGAGGATCCAAAATTGTTCAGTCACTTTGGAAAACAGTTGGGCATTGGCCAGGTGCAGTGGTTCATGCTTTTAATCCCAGCACTTTGGGAGGCTGAGGCAGGAGAACTGCTAGAGTCCAGGAGTTGGAGACCAGCCTGGGTAACATGGAGAAACCCCATCTCTACTTTAAAAAATAAAAAAAAATAAAAATAGTTTGGCAGCTTCTAGACAAATTAAACATACACTTATCCTATGACCTAATAATTTCACTCTTTGGCACTTAAGAAAAATGAAAACATATATTCACACAAAGAGTTATAGGCAAATGTTCATAGCACCTTTATTCACATAAGCCAAAACCCAAAAACAATCCAAATGTTCAAGTGGAGAATGAATAAACAAACATGTTCATACAACAGAATACTACTCAACAATAAGAAGAAATAATATAAAGAAGAAACACAGATGAACCTCAATAGCATTATGCTAAATAAAAGAAGACAGACAGGAAAGACTGTAATGTAAGACTCCAATTACATACACTTCTAGAAAAGGCAAAATTCTAGTGATAGAAAGCATATCAGTCTAGTCAGGGGCCGGGAGGTTGGGGGAAGAAACTGACTGCAATGGGGCATGAGGATTCTCTAGGGGGACAGAAATGTTGTGTATCATGATTATGGTGGTGGCTATGTGATTACACACTTGTCAAACATCACAGAATTCTACACTTAAAATTGGTAAGCTTTATTATATATAAATTATATATTGGTAAAGCTAGCCAAATAAAGGGAAAAATAAAAGTATAATGAGATACCATTTCACAACCATCAGTCTGGAAAAATTTTAGAGTCCAAAAGTACTAAGAGCTGACAAGGAACTGGAGCTACAGGTAGTTTACTCTTACATATTACTACTAGGAGCAAAGACTGCTAAATCATTTTGGAGTGCTAAGGATGTACACAACTTATGACTGGCAATTTTACTTCTAGTTATATAGAAAAGTCCTTACACTTGTGCCTTAGGAAACACATACAAGATTGCTTCCAGCAGCTATATTTTTTCAAAAGCAAAGAAAATGAAAACAACCTAAATGTTCATTAAGAGAAGACGGAATAAGTAAACTGTGGTGAGTCATACAGGAATCAACTGTGTATCAGAAACATAATGCTGATAGAGTAAAGTTGTAGCAGGATATATACAGTATGTTTTCATTTGCTTAAAAGTGAAAAATGTTATTTGTTTGTGGCTGCATACATATGTGGAGAAGTATAAAGACATGTATGGATGCTAATAAACACTGAATTCAGGATTGTGATTATTATCTCTAGCGGGCAGAGAGGAAGATAAAGTAGGGGGAGGGCTTAAACTGTTTTGGCTGTTTCATTTCTTAAACTGGGTGATAAGTACATGAATATACATATTTCATATAAAATCACTTTTTTCAAAACAAAAAGGACGCAATTACCTTGCTGAAGGTGACATTGTATCCTCTTGCAAGAAATGGCAGAAATAACACTTTAGTATAATATTATTTTAGAAGTTGCCTCACTTAAGGCAATCATGAAAAATAATTATGTGAAAGAAATGTTTCAGCTGTAATATTTTTAAACGTCTGAATATTTTATCTAATTGCTTCTTTTGAACTGGTAATTTATTCTAAGTAGCAATTTGGGAGACATAATAATCTCATTGTAAGTTTTTCTCCGTACATTACAGACAAGTACTTATAAATAAACAAATAGTTCTAACTTAAGTGGTTTCAGGGCTTCTGAGATACCAATGACATCAAGGAGGAAATGAAATTATCTGTACGCTTTAAGAGCTCCTGGTATTCAATTATCCCTGTTGAGATACCCTAGAGGAGATACAGTTCTAGAAGCCAGCATAAGTTTATAGTTCTGAAATATAAATTCTCCAATCTTCATGACTCATAAACCAAAAAGCATAAAACACTCACTAACAGAGTAACAAACTGAGAAATCTACTTGGATTTCCGGGCTGTTTCTTTTACTTGATAAAAAGACACAAAATACAAACATGAAAAAACAATACTTTAGTTCACTGAGGCCTACATTATGCCACTTTGAGGTTGCTTTTTAACATTTAACTTACTTTCTTTAACTTATCTCCTATACTGACACTAAAACATATACACATAAATACTTACTGGCAATTTTCAAAGATGTTACAGAATCTTTCTATTTTCAGTCACACTTCAGGTAAATAGCTACCCACCAATGAGCATTTTTAAGGAACTAAGATATACTTATTTAACTTTCTGTTTTTGAAAAGAGTATGTATTTTATCAACTCAATGTACAAAGTCAGAAAAACCATCAACAGCTCAAAGCATTCTAAACCAAAGAGCAAATTCAATAGAATCAAGGATTAAATTTTTAAGAACATAGTTGAATCTAAAGAACTTCACCCATATTTACTTCCAAATTGTGTAAGAATCTATAGAAAGGTTTTAGCCAGTCTGCTTCATTTTAGTTATGTCAAATGACATATAATGAATTTGTTATGAGCTTCCTCATTTATTAGTCAATAAGCTGTACTTTTTATGAAAATCCCAAAATGAGAATTTTTACAAGTTTAAAATGTTTTTAGAAAATTAAACAATGAAACCTCAGAAAAAAAAATACGGAGTTAGTGATGCTACTACTTATATAAAGCATAAATAGCAACTCAAGATTTTATTAATTTTTTTTAAACTTTGGATCACTTAAATCAAAAGCAACTCAAGATTTTGAACTGACTGTACAGAGAATGTTTCCACTCTATGATGTTAACCATGAAATACAGAATTTGCAAAAATAAAGTTTCGTGATAAAATTAAGTGTAATCTGTTCTAAAACACTCAAACACTCAAATGATGGAGGTATATAATGCCTTAGGTGGTCTTAAATCCAAACATACCAATTTTTCTCTTTCACTGATAAACATTTTATATATATACGTAAAAGTTTTTGAGCACATGTTTGAATGCTCCAGGACAGACATTTGGACATTGAATTACTGGGCAGAAGGATATAAGCAATTTAAAATTTTAATAAATGTTTTAAAATTGGTCTCCAAGATAGACTACCATAGTGTATGAGAGAACTATTCTCCTATGTTCTAGCCAACACTTGATACAACCAGATTAAACATGTTGTACCAAATAGAAGGAAGCTTTAATTTGCATTTACATGACTACTAGGGAAGTCGAATACATCTTTTTGCATATTCATTGACCATTTTTATTTCTACTATGAGAATTGCTGCTCATATCCTTTGCCTGTTTTTCTACTAAGTCTTTTTCTTATTGACTTATAAGCGTTCCTCATTTCTGAGTATTCATCTTTAGCCTGTTATATAAGACCCAACTATTTTTCTTAGTTTGTCATTTTTATCTTTAAAGATTTTTTTTTTTTTTGAGACAGAGTCTTGCTCTGTCACCCAGGCTGGAGTGCAGAGGCCCGATCTCGGCTCACCGCAAGCTCTGCCTCCCAGGTTCACGCCATTCTCCTGCCTCAGCCTCCCGAGTAGCTGGGACTACAGGTGCCCCCACCACGCCCAGCTAATTTTTGTATTTTTTAGTAGAGACGGGGTTTCACTGTGTTAGCCAGGATGGTCTCGATCTCCTGACCTTGTGATCTGCCCGCCTCAACCTCCCAAAGTGCTGGGATTACAGGCGTGAGCCACCGTGCCCGGCCTTATCTTTTAGTTTTATCCATGATGTCTTAACATGAATGTTTATTTTTCATGAAGAGCATTAATATTTTGATTCCAAGAAAGTACCAGATTTATAAAAGCTATTTTATCAAGTCTAAGAAAACTAAATATTATCCCATCTCAGATAAAACACTAAGGTCTACAAATGTGAACATATGGGAACACAGAAGAGTTAATGACAAAATATTCTGAATTTAGCTCCTATCGCCCCAACGGGTTACAGAAATAATAATCTATGGGCAATTATAGCACTGTCAATTGTACAAAATTTCATATTGAAGTCCATCTCACTCACCTACAGATTTGTCTGCCATGCCCACATCTCTAGACGTCCAGCGACAAAATCCACATGCCAGGTAATAGGCTTTCTTCATGGTGGTCTTGGCTGGGTCATCTGGAAGCTGTGTGGAGATGCTCGTGGCCCGAGTAGAGAGGGTGTGCATGCAGCCAGGACAGTCAAAACAATTGGCACATCTGTGACATGACAAACACAACCATTCATTCAACAAATATTTATCAAGGAATTCAAGAGAGAACAAATATAAGGACAAGTGTCTCTCAAGAAAAAACAGTAACATTCTGCAGGCCTCTTACCAACTTTGCTTTAACAGTTCAAGAGTACTATATGTTCATTAGTTTAAAAAATATGCAGTTATCGCCAAAGTAAGAATTAGAGCCCAACCCAATCCTACTCCACAGAGAGAACCATTGTTAACAGATGGAGTTTATGATTCCAGACTCTTTTTATGCTTATATTGATCACAAAGATTTCTGAGGAAGAGAACTGTCACAGCTTATGCCTTTAGAGAGGACAGACCAACTGTGCCATAGAAAACTTAGAGTCAACAATACAAGAAGCTGTGAAACTGGATTTGGAAAATAACCGACTGCTGTGCCAGAGAGCTTCAACAGAAAGCAAACAATGCTATCAAACTGGAATGGTTCAGAAGCAGCATATTTTCAGGGCTTTCTGTTCTCTCCTTAAATGCTACTTTTCCTAGTGCTCAGCCAACATTTCTCCTTTAGGAGGTCCCTATGTCTTCTTGCTTTTAACTCTCCCACCAGCACAGATTATCAAGATTTCACCTGCAGTCCTGTACCTGCTTGAAGTTCTGTTCTATAATATAACTTGCATTATCTGTTATAGTCTGCCATCTGGATACTATCAAAAGAAGATAATAATAGTACTCACCTTACAAGGAAGCTTTGAGGATTAAATGATAAAAATTAATTTGTGGAAAGTATACAAAACAGTATCTGGTTATCAGGGGTTACTTCTCAGGGCAGGAAAGACAAATAATAGTGGTTCACATCCATAAAGGTATGGGGGTATGACTAACAGCAAAAGGACTTTCACTTCAAGCTAAAAACTAAACACCATCCAGTAGCAATGAGCAAGCCTAGCAGCCATATCTTGGTTTCTAAGACTATTCTCCAATAAAGTGAACCAAGGCTCCTTGGAGAAACAACTCTAAGACTGAGACAGAAAATATACAAGATGAGGCTGGGCACAGCAGCTCACGCTTGTAATCCCAGCACTTTGGGCCAAGGCAGGTGAAGTGCTTGAGCCAGGAGTTCAAGACCAGCCTGGGCAACATGGCAAAAGCCTATCTCTCCAAAAAAATACAAAAATTATCCAGGTGTGGTAGCATGTGCCTAGTCTCAGCTACTCAGGAGGCTGAGGTGGAAGGACTGCTTGAGCCTGGGAGGTTGAGGTTGCAGTGAGCCAAGATTGCACCACTGCACTTCAACCTAGGCGCCAAAGTGAGACCCTGTCTCAAAAAAAAAAAAATACACACAAAACATACACACAAGATGAGTCTGGAGTATCTTGTAGTACTGGTAAGAAAATGATCAAAGTAATGAACAGAGAACTCTCTCCTGCTCCTAATGATGGGGGTATGTCAAAGGGATCTAGGAGTCAACTGAAAGAGCTCCCAATGGCCAAAGCTGAAATAATTTGAGCAAAATAAATAAAGTAGTATTGGATTACAAGCCAAAATATAAAATGAATATTCATAATCCCACTGTCCTATAAGTAAGTGATTTAAAAAACAAATAAACAAGAGGAGAAGAGACAGATCTTCCATGCAAAAGAATTCCAAATCCAAATAATTTATGCAGATAGTCCTCAAGGACAGGGGAGCATAATTCTCTAGTCTTTATGGGCTGTGACAGTAATTTTCCTTCCAAAAAGTAGAGTACAAAAAAAGAAGGAAAAGCAGTAACTTTACAGTGGAGAAACCTGACAAACACTAGCTCAAGCCAGATAATCAAGGTTAACACCAACAGTGACAAGTCATAAGTATTTACCCTTGATATGATGTAATCAAAGATGGCACTTTACCTCTGTGGTTCTCCTCCGCAAAATACATTCCCCTAGTCTGATGAGAAAAAAACATCATGCAAATCCTAATGAAATGACATTCTATAAAATACCTCACCAGTACTCCTCAATACTTTTGAGGTCATCAAAACCAAGGAAATTTTAAGATTCTCCTATCACACCACACCCAAGAGGAGTCTAGAGACATAACTATAAATATAATGTGATATCCTGAAAAGAATCCTGGAAAAAAAGGAGACCACAGAAAAACTAAGGAAATCTGAATAAAATGTAGTGTATTGGTTCATTAATTGTAACAAATATACCACACTAATGTAAAAAGTTAACAATAGGGGAGACTGGATGTGAGGTAAATGGGAACTCTCCATACTATCTTCACCATAATTCTGAAGTACAAAACTGTTCTAAAGTAGAAAATCTATTTCAAAAATCAAAGGGGATTTCATCTTTGGCAATGGTGATGCTTAAAAATGAAAAAGAGCTGGTTAAAAAAGTTAATTTCATGTGTCTTTTTTTTTTTTTTTTTTTTGAGACAAAGACTTGCTCTGTTGCCCAGGCTGGAGTGCAGTGGCACAATCTTGGCTCACTGCAATGTCTGCCTCCCAGGTTCAAGCAATTCATCTGCCTCAGCCTCCCAAGTAGCTGGGACTACAGGCGCGTGCCACCACACCTAGCTAATTTTTTGTATTTTTAGTAGAGATGGGGTTTCGCCATGTTAGCCAGGATGGTATCAACCTCTTGACCTCGTGATCCCTGCCTCCGCCTCCCAAAGTGCTGGGATTACAGGCGTGAGCCACCATGCCTGGCCCATGTGTCTTTTTAACTAGCTATTTTAGAGAACAGTCAAGGAAAATAGGAAGAAAAAAAAAATCAGTCCAGGTCTTACCTATTCTTTTTTAGTTTGGCTTCAGCCGATGGCATATTTTCTAAACAACTGGGACAATAATGGGAGTCCACCTAGGAGGAAACAAGAAAGAAAAAAAAAACCAGAGGAGAACTCAGTTTAACTTGTGTATATGTCTTGTCAAATAGTGAATTTTAAAATATGTTATACTGTAGCAGAAAGTAGACTGTTTTCTGCTTAGGGTTTATTCTTCTTCAGTCACCTGTTTTTTTTTTTTCTTCTTCTTCCGGATTTAAAAAATCCTTCTATTTTTCTGATCTTTCCTATTCCATCATCAGGGTTTTATGTGTTAAAAGTTGTTTATTTAACAATCTACAATTTCCAGTTGAACTCCATAGAATTCTATGATTAATAAAGAGATTAATAAAATAATCCAATTTGTAACATTGTGATAAAATATCCTCCTGTCTAGGCTAGCTTTATATGACTATAAAACTTGACCATACTTTTAGGTTTTGAAGGACATTTTTTTAAAGATTTCTCATTATTGAAGTAATACAGGTTGACTGAAGGCAAGCATAAATATTTATTTACATAGTCAGCTATGGCCAACCAATTAGAGATTTTTAAACAAATTAATGGGACAGTCTTATTGTACTTAAAAAACTGGAGTCTAAAATTTAAGTTCATTTTATTTTTTAAAAGTCTGAATAATTATTTTCTTTAATGTAGGTCCTATTTGACAATTATAGAACTCTAGTCACCTGCAAATGAAAAGACAATCACTGGAACATAAATACTATGATAGAAACTGGCTTTTTTCATCATCTGCTATAAACAGGTCAATTTGAAAAGATTAATAAAGTTGTTGCTCAAATAATCTCCAGGAACATAAAATACAATATTGCTAACTAACCTCTGCACTGACTCATCAAAAAAGGCAAAATACAAGTCATTCCTTTTTGCCCCCTTTCCAAATTCTGCTTGTCCGTTCATGTGCAGCTCCAGACCCAGATTCTCCATTAGAACTTCACTGCCTGCCCCAGCCCTCAGAGCTTCATCTTTCCCTAAACTCTAATGGCCTCCATATCACAGGTACACATCAGGCTGTAAAAGATGCTGTCACAGACTGGATGTCCTAATTGAAGAGAGTCTTAGAGACAGATCATGGAGACTGAGCACTCTATTCACCACAGGAGAATATGATCCAATAAATTCTGGAGGTGGAGCTGGAATAGGGAATCATCAAGGAGATACACATAAGGAAAGTGCTAATGGAGATGAGAAGAAAAATCGATGCCATATTTTTAATATATACGATTTTTCTTGTATTATTTAATTGCTTTTCTTGACTATTCCTATTATGAAAAGTATCTTCAATAAAATAAGTTATTAATAACACATAAAATGGCTTATAGTATGTGTTTTCATATGCATTTATTTTAACAGTCCCGGGATCTTCAGTAAAAAACACTCTGAGTTAGGCTGTTTAGATTCAAATCCAGGTCCTCCTTCCCACCCCCAAATTACTGGCTGTGTGACTTACAGCGAACACTCTGTATCTGTTTCTTTACCTGTAAAAAAAATTTTTTAAAAAAAGTATCCACTTAAATTGGTTTGAAGATTACATAAAGCACATGACATATAGCAAGTATCGAATAAGCAGCAACTATTACTACTATCAGCTTTTTCTTCACTAAGACTATGGCTTATTAAACAGCGCATTTTATGTCTTACTCGCCTTTTAATCCCTAAAGCTTACTGAATAAACAAGATGTGCCAAGCGCTGCAGAAGTTTTGGGGTTTTGTTATTTGGTGACTTTTTACTGGCCGGGGTCTTCTTTTTGAAAAATCCAACTTCGGACGCCCACTTGTGCCAGGGAAGGACAGCATTGTCCTCTAGCTCCATAAATACACTTTCAGCTTCTTACATGACATACTGTATTCTGAGCGCTTTTCACATAACTCACGCCGCCCCAACCTCTTCCCGGCTGCAGGCCTTGGCCTGAGTCAGGAACAGGGCAAGGCAGTCTGACGAGGGCCCAGTTTCTGGACAAAAGAGGAACAGAACTTTCAGGATGGGAGAACTATGAATGAGAACGCCTGCGCCTCCCTCCATCCTCGCAATAAATCCTGGAAAGGCAGTTTTTCGCCCCTTAAGTGGCCTGAACTAAGCACCCCCAGACCTTTCTCCGTAGTCCACCCAATTACCAAGCCCCATCGCAGACAGACACGGTCCCTAAGTCAAGTTTGTCCAATCAGAGGCCGCTCTAGAACCAGAAGATCCGCTCAGTCCCACCCGAGGCTGCTCCTCC
This sequence comes from Homo sapiens, assembly GCF_000001405.40. Taxonomy (NCBI): domain Eukaryota; kingdom Metazoa; phylum Chordata; class Mammalia; order Primates; family Hominidae; genus Homo; species Homo sapiens. The sequence continues at coordinate 150,758,690 of NC_000005.10, forward strand.
TTTCCAAGTGACAGATTAGAAGCAAATTAAATCGCAGGCAAACCCGAGTGACGGAAGACATAACCAATCAGTAAGGAAGGAAAATAGCTCCAGCCTTCCGGTGGCAGTGACTAGCATGAACGCCGCGCCCCCCCCACCCCACATACTCGCTATAGGGCGACTCTGTTACCTCGTGAGACACACATTCCAGCGACCGCAGTTCGCTACAATAGCGGCAGAAGTAGAGTTGCGAGAGCGGGGCCCGAACCTTCTTTTCTCCCTGGACTAGATAGAGAACCCGGTCCGACTGCAGCAAGGACGCCATCTTGGGGAGGGAGGAGGCGATGACGCTCCCGGCGCATCACGTGACCCGAGAGCCAGCGTCTTCCTCGCTGCCTTCCCTACGACTTCCTACGTAGACTTTGACGTTAGGTTTCCCACCTCGTCCGGCTCTGCGCCCGTCGAAAACCAGAGCGCGCGTGCGCAGCTGGGATCCCTGTTTTCTCCCCAACTCTGGGCCCGTCCCCCAGCGCTTTTGTGAGCGTCCACTGCCCTTACTGCCATTAGGTCTGGACTCAGTGAGCTCCTTTTATTCTTTTCTTCCAGAATGGAAGCCTGATCTTTTGTCTTATTTACGACGGCCTCCTCTGCCCCACTTAACAGGCGAGCATCCAGGAGACAAATGGAAGGTCTCAAAGGGACAGGGCTCCGTGGGGACTGCAAGACAGGAGTCACACCAGCACTGTCTTCTGAGTCTTGCCAATGGCCTTTGGGAACTTTCACATACATTATCTCATTTGAAACGCAGGTTTTTGAGTACATAGTTAGCGTTAGGTCTAAGTCTGTATTGTGGACCTTCAATAAGTATGAAAAGGAGGGAATGAAATCAATGAATGAACAATGTTGGTAGGCGTCTACGTTTTTCTAATGTGTAAACTAAGGCTCAGGTCTGCCTCTTGGGTGAGCAGCGACTACGTGAGACTGGTATTACATGGGTGGGAAAATAATTTATCAACAGTTTTAGGTAAAGAAATGCAGATTTATTAGAGAAGGTATGAAAATACGTTGAAAGGTTGCAATGGGCAGACCAGCCAGAGAGGAGCTGACTTCAAGGAAACAAAGGCTTGCTGGAGATTTTATCCGATGGTTCTTGGGCTGCAGAGTGCTGTGCAGTACCGAGAACTCCAAGGTTACAGGGAGCTAACTTGCATGTGTCTCGTGATAGCTGAGTGCAGGAAGATTGTGAGTTATTTGCACAGGAGGGCTACGTGTCCTGCACCATGAAGAAAGGCAGACTTAGAGTGCATCTGCTCTTCTTGCTATCCCTTGGTCCCACTAGCCTGACTCCCTTTCTCTAACTGGGACTCCCCAGTATGTAAAATGACCACCTAGAACTGCCTAGCAGAAACTGGAGCCTCTGTTGCCTGCCACCAGGTCTACATTTTTATAATTGTAGTAGTGTTGTATTATTACCTGTCTGACGTTAGAGTTGGTGATTGAGAAGAAAGGGAACTGAATACTATTAGCAAACATTTATTGAGCACTTATTAAGTGCAGCACACTGTGTCAAAACTTTACATACATTGTCTAATTTAATTCTTACAACAGCTCCAAAAAGCATGTGGCTATCATTATTTCTATTTTACAGAGCAGGAAACTGAGGCACAGGGAAGTGCAGTGACTCCTCTATAAGGTTTCATAGATGGAGGTAGAACCCTTTTCTCTCTGACTCTAGTGCTTGCAGGTATAACCCCTATGTATACTCCCTCCAGCATATTTTCTAATATGGTGATGTTAATAATACCTTACATTTATATAGACCTTTTCAGCTTATACAGTGCTAATCTCACAATTTATGTCACGCTTTACCAATTGAGCCTAAAAGTCATTACTTGTTCACCAAGCAATAGCCTGGCACTAATTTAGTTTCATAGGTGACATCTGCTCCTAGGAGAGAATATATTACTAGCCAACTCATTTGCAATTATTTCTTTAGGTTAATGAATTCGTTGGTTTTCTGGTTTATAAACTAGTCTCTACTGAGTTTAAATTCCCTTTTCTGGACTATGCTGTTAAAATGAAGTCCCAGAGCCTGCAGGTACAGAAAGGCTGGAGACTTGAGCTGAATCCACATAAAACAGACACTTTTTAGAGCACTGATTTTAAATAATTAAGTGGCCAATTATCTTGTCCCTGCTACATGCCAGGTACTGGGGAGGGAACTAGCGATAAATGAGATACTTTCCATCCTCAAAGGCTCAGGGTTCTAGCAGGATCGAGTCCTAGTTATGCACAATGGTGACCAGCTTGATAATGTAGCCTTGTGTTGCTTTTTCACTCTACCCAGCCCTGGACTCACCCTCATTCACTTCTCAATCCTGGCTTCCTGCCTGCAGAATCTCATTTTGAGCTCTGCTTTCTAGGGGGAACTCAGGCTAATACAGAGACCCTAAAGTTGAACTGGCAGATCAAAGGATATCCACATTTAATAAATACTGGCAATAAGCCCTTGTGAAATTCTAGGCCAATTTACACTCTCACTATAAGTGTATGAGCTATCCATTTCCCACTGTTTTGCCCACCTGGCATATTATCAAATTTGAGTGGATACTTTTGGCACTTTCTAGCTATGTGATCTTGAAAAAGACATTTACACCTCAGAGTCTTGTTTCAAGACACATAGAATGAGAAGAATAATCCCTGCCTTGGTGAAAATAAAAAATCATCCAGGCTGTGAAAGCATTTTGTAAGGTATGAAGTACTAAGCACATGGAAGAAATGCTCCCTAAATATCCCAAGTATGAAAAACCCAAAGTGGTTTTCATTTTTATAAAGAGTCCTTCAGAGTAAATCCACAATAATAATGGAAAAAACTGGAAGTTAGTCAGACTTTGGTCAAATGAGGTCTTGTGAAGGGGACCGAATCTGGGCTCTGACCTCAAAGACTTAGGGTTTTCTACAGCTTAGGAATCTGGGGAACTGCTCTCACCAATGCTGGCCACCTGCCCTGGCTGCCTTCCCCACTTTTGCTTTCCTACTTGAAAACTATATTAATTATAGGGTTTCCTGTGTTGAATCTATTTACAGGCTAATCTAAAAGTCATAGTAAGTGAATAGAGGAGGAAGAAAAAAGAAGTCCCTGTTTCATCAATATCCATGCTAGCCCCTGTGGGGGCCCTTACTGCCCAGGAAATGTGGTGGTGGCAGGGCTAAAGCTAATTTCCCAAGTGTAAACATGGCAAAAGACTGCTGGCCTGCCTTTATTCTGGGAAATCTTTTGAATTGTTTTTGCTTTTGAATTGAACTGAACTTTGAATTTTTCTTTCCTTTTTTTTTTTTTTTTTGAGACGGAGTCTCACTCTATCGCCCAGGCTGGAGTGCAGTGGCACAATCTCAGCTCACTGCAAGCTCCGCCTCCTGGGTTCATGCCATTCTCCTGCCTCAGCCTCCCAAGTAGCTGGGACTACAGGTGCCCGCCACCACGGCCGGCTAATTTTTTTGTATTTTTAGTAGAGATGGGTTTTCACCGTGTTAGCCAAGATGGTCTGGATCTCCTGACCTCATGATCTGCCCTCCTCAGCCCCGCAAAGTGCTGGGATTATAGGCATGAGCCACCACGCCTGGCCCACTAAAACCACTTTTTATGAGAAGTGCACAGATGGGCCTACAGAAGATTCAGAAGCCTGACTAAAATTTGGCCAAACAGAGACTGTTTCTCACCCTCCCTCTTGCACAATTCACCACCCAACCCCGAGGCTTGCTTCTAGGAGAGCACCAGTGTATTGCTCACTGAATTGAGCAAAGTGGAATTAAAGACTGAATTCCTGCCTAACTCAGTGCCTGGCACAGAGCAAGCCCTCGGTTAGTATTTGTCGAGTGGATGAACACTATTTTAAACCATCTGGAACTTGCTGCCATATGGAAGCTGGCAACTAAAAAAATTTTTTTTTTCTTTTTCACCTTTAAGCAGTTGCTTCTTTTAGAAGGCAGAACAAGAAATAGGGGGAGAGGGGAGGATTGCAATTCTGGATTGTGTGGTCAGGGTAACCCTCCTGAAAAGGTAAGGTTTGAGCAAAGATTTGAAGGAGGTAGAGCGAGAGCCCAGTGGATATCTGGGGAAAGAGCCTTCCAGAAGGAGCTAAACAAGGTCTCTAAGGCGTATGTGAGGAGCAGCAAGACCTGTGTCATTGTTAGGGAGTGAGCACGGGGGAGGGGTTTGGGGGATGATGTCCCAGAGTTAATGGGGGCTGGGGGTGCACTCATGTAGGATCTCAAAGGGCATTTAAAGGATGTTGAATTTTTCTCTGAAGGGAATGTGGAACCATTGCAGGATTTCAAGCAGAGCAGTGATGTGATCTAACCCACATTTTACAAGGGTCATTCCTGACATCGTTTTGGAAATGGACTGTAGAGAGACAAGGATAGAATCAGGGCTCAGTTAGCAAATTCCAATGGTGATCCAAGCAAAAGAAGATAGTGCCATAGAGCACGGATTCTGGCTGTATTTTGAAGATAGAGCCTATGGGATTTCCTCATGCCCATAGACTGCCATGTGGGAGGGGATGGCTTGAAGTTAGGCAACAGGGAGGCCCTGGTTGGGCCAGGGGACAGTTTGTTTTTCAGTTTGACCAAATTCAGCCACTGGGGGTTTATTTCCTCAGAAATTACCAAGACTATTTCTTCTCCCTGAGGTCAAAATAAAAACATCCAGGAAAGGACTAGACACTTTTATATTTAAGAAAAAGAAATGAAGCTAACTTGTTCAGTCTCTTATTTTGTTCCAACTCACAAAGCACGGTGATGACAACACAGGAAGGCATATTTCACAAGAGGCCAGAAAAAGAGCCAATCAGTCAGTTGCTAAACACATTAATCAGATCTTCAGTGCTCCAGCTCAGGCTGAGGTGATGCTGGTGTGGGAGAGCCCAGCCCGTTTGGAATGGGGCCAAGGACTCTCCACAGTAGCTTCTCCCCTTGCTGTGAAGGTAAAATGCGTTAATACAAGTAAAGTGGGTAGAGGGCAGCACGCTGTCAGTAATATCAGTGGTATGTAAGTATTGGTTATTAGGCCACGGAGTATGGCCCAATCCCCTCATTAACAAGTGAGAAAACAGGTTCAGAGAGAGGAATTCATTTGTCTAAAGTTACACTGGCTCTCCAGCTTTACTTCTGAGCAGCACTAAGTTGGCTTCTTAAAAAAATTGTTTTGGACAATTGGGATTTCCAGTGTTGCCCCTCTTACAATTTATTCCTGGGAAGTTCTTTTAGACTTTCAGCTGTCTCATCTGAGAGCCTTCCTGTCCTCACAGGGAAGTTTAATGGGAAATTTTGTTACTCTTGAGCACTGGTGGAAGTGAGCCTCCAAGCTGGCCATCAGTGGCCACTGCCTTCTGGTGTTTCTACCCTTGTGTACCAGGGTTGGTCTGTGTGACCAACAGCATATGACAGAAGTGATGGGATGACACTTCCGAGACTAGATTATAAAAGACTGTGTCTTCTGTATTGGGCCCTCTCTTGCTGGAGCTCTCTCTGTCTGAAACACACACACACACACACACACACACACACACACACCCTTTCTCTTGTATCATTTGTTTGGGAGAAGCAGGCTGCCATTTTGTGAGCAACCCCATAGCAAGGCCTGTGTGGCAGGAAACTGAAGCCTCTGGCCCACAGCTGTTGAGGACTAAGGCCTGCCAGCAACCAGCGAGTGAGCTCAGAGGTGGATTCTCCAGCTTCACTTGAGTATAGAGATCATTACAGACCCAGATGACAGCCTGACTGCAAACTTGTGAGAGACCCTGAGCTAGAACCACCCAGGTTAGCAACTCCTGGACTCTGACCCTCAGAAACTGTAAGATAAAAAATGTTTATTTTAAGCTGCTAAGTTTGGGGATACTTTGTTCTTTCCTTACCACCACCATAACAGTTAACCTCTGCCACACTGTATACTTCTCTTTCCATCTCTGCCCCCTCCACTGTCCTAGTCATGGCCTCATGCCCTCCCCACATGTCCCCATAACCAACTGTCTTCTCTGAGGTCAAACCCAGAAGTTATCAAACCAGCTGAATCAGTCACAGTACCAACAGGAAACAGATGGCGGGCTAAAATTGATAATTTGAAGAAAGTTTAATATAGGAACTATTTGTGGAATTGTGGGTGGGGTGGAGAGCAATGAAAAGGAAGGAACACTGCAGTTCACAGGGTTAGTAAAGGTGGGTGCTGTTTATGGCCTGAGGCCTGAAGACGCAAGGGTGGGAGCAGTTACTGTACTCTGGAGACAGACAGAGCTGTGTGAAGAGGGTCCCCTAACAGGAATTGGGCCACAGAGCCAGCCTTGCAGCCCCTGGGGTGAGGGTGGGGGTAGAATGCAAAACACCTCAGCTCCTGCTGGTGCTTCCCGCTTAGATGAGCCCACCAGAAAACTAGACATCAAGGAAATCTATCTTAGTTTCCCTCAGAAGCAGATTGTGGGATAAGGGTTTAAGTGCAAGTCATTTATTTGAGAGGTTCAAAGGTTCAGGGTATACCAGTAGGGAACTGAGGAAGTGAAATAAAGAAGAGAAGACAGCTGGTATGATTGTGTTATTAAGCCAGCTATCATAGTGGGTGACTGGAGCCTAGTCCCACAGAGAAACTCTGGAAACAATGTAAACACACCTCTCAGAATTATTTCACTGAAGGGTGAGGGAGTTGGGATATTTATACTCCTAAAGTCTTTGGTTGAGGGCTGCTCCTGGAGAAAAGGGTTAATTCCTGGATACTTTTGGACTGACAGACCAACCTTCTGTGTTTCTGGGAAAAGCCCTCAGACACAAAGATACAGATACTGGCAATTGGAAGTCTGTGAAACATTGAGGTGGAGAAGGCCTAAGAGATTTGCGCAGGGATTGGCAGTGTCTGCTACCAGGCCCACTGATGGGATACATTCAGATGAACCTCCCATTCACAAGGCAGGATGGAGAACTGTGCAGAGGGTGAATCTGGAAGCAAAAATGAAACTTAAGTGCATGCTTAAAGTTAATAAGTAAAACTTATTAATACTCTCTTAAATAGAAATACACTGTATAGGTTTCAAAACAGTATTTTTTCCCTTTTATTCTCACAGTTACTCTACCCTCTCTTGTAACCATGTAGCTAATTGTCTGATTCTGCTTGTGCATTATGCAGTGTGCATTGCAATTCTGATTGTGCCTGTGCATCTCACTGTGCCTTACCTAGGTCAGTAATTACTCCATTTCAATGAGCAGAAAAAGAGGCACAGAGAGGACCTAACTCAATAAGAGTCATTCAGATGCAAGACATTTAGCATCAGTTCTTTTACTTCCTGTTGGGTAATCTTAGAAAAGTTAACATATCCTCTTTGGGCTTCTGTTTTCTGATGTGTAAAATAGGGGTTAATAACATTTTCACCCTAGAATTGTTTTAAGGACTAAGTAATATAATGCACATAAAATCTTTGCTATACAATAAATGCTAAATAAGTGTTTCGTTCAAGTAAATATTCTTTTTTGAAAAATATAGGCAAAGGCATATAAATATTTGAGACGAAAGTTTACTTCAAAAATTTGAACAGAGATATCTTCTGGTAATAGACACTCTATTATCTCTAGCTACATGACTGTGTAATAATTGAACACTTTGGAATTAAGCCATGAGAATTGATTCAAATAATTATAACCACACTAATGAGACCATATGACTATCACTCCACTTCAAAGCTATAAAACAGAACGCTTCCATTTCCTCTTCTTTCTCCCTGTCTGCTTAGCACTTTGTTTTATCTCAAATTCCACATGTTCGAGAAGTTTCATCATTTCACCATCCTTCCTTATCATTAATTCAATGAAGGCTTTCAGCCATAATACAAAAGTTTTAATTAAAATAAAAATTCCTGTATCTTATGTTCAGGCTAGAAGGTTATTTCTTTTGAGTTAGCAAGTGAGTGGAGCTACCCCCAAAGAGTAAGAAGGCATTTTGCCCAAGGATTTATAGAACAAACAGAACTTTGGGAATTTTTTCAGGAAGAAAGGGGAAGAGAGGGAGACTAGTAATTTCAGGAGTCCTGGTGCTTATTGCCTGACTTTTGGGAAGACCCGAGCTGTTTAGGGGCCTGTAAGTGAGAAACTAATGTCTGAGCCAGGACAGATTCATCAGTGAAACAAAATAGATCACCCTAACACAGGTATGCTTTTAATTAAAAACTGTAGTAATCTTAAGATCCTTGAGCCTTAGCTTTAAAAAAGTTTTGGAGGTGCAAGTGACTACAGAGAACATTTAACTGAACTATCTTCTTTTCACTTCTGGAGCCTGAAGATATAGAAAGAAGAAGGGACTTCCTCAAGGTCACATAGCAAACTAGCGACAGAGCCAGGACTAGAAGTCATGGTTTAGTACTGTTTAGTGCCAGTTTAGTACCATTACCTTGTGCCAGTGACACACTCCTTGCCCCCATACCCCAGTCTTCCACCGCCTCAATGAAAACCTTCTGCGATATCTCTCTGCTCCCATACCTCCAGTGTTAGGGAACCCATGACATCCCAAGAAAGCCTGTTCTGTCCAATTTCGGACAGCTCTTTAAAAAAATTCTTTCTTTGGGTGAACTGAGATTTGCTTCTTCTCAGCTGACACTCTCTGATTCTAGGTCGGCTCCCTCTGTCCCAGGCATACTTCAGAGGTTTGCTCAGATTCCCCATTGCCTACATGAGTCCTCCCATCTCTAGACTAAACATCCTATTGTCTTACAATTCTATTCTGTTTTTGGCTGCAGTGATCTATGATTGTGCCACTGCACTCGAGCCTGGGTAACAGAGCAAGACCTTGCCTCTTAAAAAAAATCAGTGAACTTTGAGCAAAGCAGATTATCCTCCATAATGTCGGTGGACCTCATCCAATCAATTGAAAGCCTTAAGAAAAAGATAGACCTTCCCTAGGAAGGGGGAATTCTGCCAGCAACCTGCTTTCAGACTCAAGATGCAACATCAAGTCTTCCCTAGGTTTCTAGCCTGCTGGGCTACCCTGCAGATTTTGGACTGGCTAGCCTTTACAATCATGTAAGCCACTTTCTTAAGAATCAATCTCTCTTTCTTGTTCTCTCTCTCTCTACACACACACACACACACACACACACACACACACACACACACACACACACAGTGGTTCTGTTTCTCTGGAGAACTCTCTGAGTTAATACAATAGTTTTTCAAGCATACGACTTTGCCTTCGGCACAACTTCAGAACTGGAAAGAGAAGTCTTGGTTGACCTCTGGTCATCCTATCATTCATTTATTCATTCATTCAACTAGTAGAGCACTTATTCTGCACCTAGGTGCAGGTGATAGAAAGGAAAATATCGTAACCAGAAATTTGAACTTAGGGAGGACTTTGATAAAACCAGACCCCACTCAAAATTATTAGTGCAGAGTGGCAAAGAGCTTAGGCTCAGTAGTCAAGCTGTCCTGGGTTCATAGTCTGGCTCTAACAATTGTCAGCTGGTAGCCTTGGCTAGTCACTCAGCCTCCCTGAGCCTCAGTTTCCACATCTGTAAAAGGGAGAATTTGGATTAGATTGTTTTTAATTTTCCCTTTAGTTTTGGACATGCAGTGTTTCAATTTAGTGAAAATGCAGGAAGGAAAGAATTGTACATAGTATGAAGGCTCTACTCTAGGGCCTAGGGAAAAATCCTATATATGATCATGTCATTCATATATATTATCTATTCAAATAAGTAATATTTACTAGACACATGTTCTTTCACATTCATGATTTCACTTGTTTCTATTTCATCCTCATTGAAGCTGCTTCAGTTAGGCAGTAGCATTCACATTTTGTGGAAGGGAAAACAGAGGCTCGTAGACATTAAATACTTCATCCAAGGTCACCATAAGTGCCAGAACCAGGATTCAAACTCAATTTTCAAAAATTCTGAACTACATGATCTTGCATTACCTCCTTTTGCCTGGCAATTCTTGACAGTTGGGAAGAATGGCATGAGTTCAAGAACTCTGAAATCTGTTTTAGCATTGTGTTCTCTTCAAATAGTTTGTCAAAGTATAGTCTTCAAGCTGGTGTGGTGGCTCATGCCTGTAATCCCAGCACTTCGGGAGGCCAGAGTGGGCGGTTCGCTTGAGCCCAGGAGTTCAAGAACAGCCTGGGCAACATGACAAAACACCATCACTACAAAAAGTAAAAAATAAAAAAGTATAGTTTCAAAATATTAAAAATATAATTTGTATACATATACATAGAAAGCATGGATCAAAGTTTTATTTAGATGTTTAATGAAGGAACCAGTAGGATGACAAGGAATGCTAAAATAAAATTAATAGGTTAGATGCAAAATTGGTTAATTACCTACAGGGCAATAAAATCATAACCTTTGGGGTTATCTTTTCTATGAGACAGAAATCATTTGTATCTCTACTGGATGGTACAAGCTAAAACAAGGAAGAAACCACATTTGTACCATATCAAACTTTCTAAAGTTAACATGTAACTTTACGGGGTTGTAAAATGTCTGGACCCCAATTAATAGTAAATAGTCAATCAAACAAAGATCCATATCCTTAGAGAGTCAGATGGTCCTTTAGAGCACACTAGGTCATGCTCTAGTGTGATGTCAGCAGGACATGTAGTCATCCTTTTGGTGTATTTCCAAATTTCTGGATGATTTTTCTTATCAATCCACCTCTATAATCACAAACTTCAAAAATTGTGATCACAAAGATGACTGATTTCATTAGAGGATATTTGGCCTAATTCATTTGCACAGAAGCCTCATTGTTGTATGGCCAGCAAATCTAGAGCTATATGCTTCTGAGCAACTATTACAGCCAGATAATTAGCTTCCACTGGAGATTTCACAAGGAGCTAGGGTTAAATTTTCAATACCCAATATCATTCCAAAGATATTCTCAACTAGATTGAGATATAGTTCACATGTTATACAATTAATTCATTTAAAGTGTACAATTCAATGGCTTTTAGCATTTACAGATTTACACAACCATCACTACAATCAATTTTTGAAGATTTTCATTACCCCAGAAAGAAATACCAGTCTTTAGACATCACCCCACATTCCCTTTACTACCCCTACCACTAGGAAACCACTAATCTTTCTATCTCTATCGATTTGCCTGTTTTGGATATTTCATATAGATGGAATAATAGAATATACAGCCCTTTGTGACTGGCTTCTTTCTTTTTAGCATACTGTTTTTAGGGTCCATCTATCTTGAAGCCTGCATCAGTACTTTTTGTTATTGCTAAGTAATATTCCATTGTATGGTCATGCAGACTTACTCTAAGAGTCCAACTTTATTCTTTTGAACTTTTTTCCCTTTATTCTATTGATGTGATATATTACATTGATTTTTGGATGTTGCATTCCTGGGATAAGTCCTACTTGGTCATGTTTTATAATCCTTGTATAATTCTGGATTTGATTCGTTGGTATTTTGTTGAAGATTTTTGTGACAATATTCATAAGACACATTGGTCTGTAGTTTTCTTTTCTTGTGATATGTTTGTCTTATTTTGGTATCAGCATAATACTGTGAAAGGAAAATATCTTGGGCCCCCAAAATCACTAAGGAAAACTCAAGCTGGAAACTGCTTAACGCAAACCTGCCTCCCATTCTATTCAAAGTTATCCCTCGCTAGGCATGGTGGCTCACACCTGTAATCCCAGCACTTTGGGAGGCTGAGGCGAGCAGATCACCTGAAGTCAGGAGTTCAAGACCGGCCTGGCCAATATAGTGAAACCCTGTCTCTACTTTACCAAAAATACAAAAAATTAGCTGAGCGTGGTGGCGTGCACCTGTAGTTCCAGCTACTCAGGAGGCTGAGACAGAAGAATCACTTGAAGCAGGGAGGCAGAGGTTGCAGTGAGCCGAGATCGCACCACTGCACTCCAGCCTGGGTGACAGAGCGAGACTCTGTCTCAAAACAAAAATGAAAACAAAAAACCCCACAAAGTTATCCCTCTTCTCATTGACATAGATGCATATCTGATTGCCTCCTTTGTAAAGGCGAATAAGAAACGCAAAATAAAGCAACCATTTGTGTCTCACCTATCTGTGACCCGGAAGCTCCATCCTGCTTTGAGTCTTCCTGCCTTTGCTTCAAGTTGTCCCACCTTTCCAGACTGAATATACTTCTTACATATATTGATTGATGTCTCATGTCTCCCTAAAATGTATTAAACCAAGCCACGCCTGACCACCTTGGGTACATGTCGTCAGGACTTCCTGAGGCTATGTCATGGGTGCGTCCTCAACTTTGGCAAAATAAACTTTCTAAATTAACTGAGACCTGTAGCAGATTTTCTGGGTTGACAAATGGATTGGGAAGTGTGCACTCCTTTTCTGTTATTTGGAAGAGTTTGTGAAGAATTGGTGTGAATTCTTCTTTAAATGTTTAGTAAACTCACTGGTGAAGCCATCTGGTCCTGGACTTTTAAAAACAATTACCAGTTTAATCTTTTCATTTGTTATGAGTCTATTCAGGTTTTCTGTTTCTTCTTGAGTGAGTTTTGGCAGTTTGTGTCTTTTCTAGGAATTTGTCTACTTCCTCTAAGTTAGTTAACTGATTGTCAAAGAGTTATTAATAGTATTTCCTTGTAATTCACTTTATTTCCAAAAGGTCAGTAGTAAAGGCCCCATTTCCATTTCTGACATCAATTTCATAAATTACTTTTAGTAATTTGGATCTCAGTCTTTCTTGTTCGGTCTAGTTAAAGGTTGGTCAATTTTGTTGACCTTTTAAAAAAATCAACTTTTTGTTTTCTTGGTTTTCATGTTTTTCTATTCTCTATTTTGTGGATATGCATTCTAATCCTTATTATTTTCTTCCTTCTAATTGCTTTTGGTTTAGTTTTCTCTTCTTTTTCCAGTGTCTTAGGTGATAGGTCAGGTTGTTGATGTGAGATCTGTCTTCTTTTTTAATGCAGGCATTTATAGCTATACATTTTCCTCTACATGCTGTTTTAACTACATCCTCTAGCTGCATCACATAGCTGTGTCTTGATTTTCATTCACCTTAAAGTACTTTATAATTTTTTGTGTGATTTCTTCTTTCATACACTGATAGTGTGTTGTTTTATTTTCATATATTGTTAATTCCCCAAATTTCTTTCCATTCTTGATTTCTGATTTCACTCTATCATGATTGGAGAATATACTTTGTAAGATTTCAGTCTATTTAAATTTATTGCAATTTGTTTCATGGCCTGGCATATTTCCAATTCTCGATAGTATTCTATGTACATGTGAGAAAAGTATGTATTATTCGTTGTTTGGTAGAGTGCACTATAGATGTGTTTTAGGTCTAGTGTGTGTGTATGGTATTGTTCAATTCTTCTATTTTCTTGTTGATCTTCTGCCTGTTTGTTCTATACAATATTGAAAGTTAGGTATTGGGATCTTTGACAATTGTTAAATTGTCTACTTCTTCCCTTAATTCTATCAATCTTTATGTTATTTTTTCTCTTGTTAGTGCGTATATTTATAATTGTTATAATTTCCTGATGGATTAACTCTTTAACATTATCAAATGTGCCTCTTTATCTCTAGTAACGTTTGTTGTTGTTGTTTTTTGAGACAGAATCTCACTCCGTAACTCAGGCTGGAGTGCAGTGGCATGATCTCGGTTCGCTGCAATCTCCACCTCCCGGCTTCAAGCAATTCTTGTGCCTCAGTCACTTGAGTAGCTGGGGTTACAGGCATGTACCACCATGCCTGGCTAATTTTTGTATTTTTAGTAGAGACAGGGTTTTGCCATGTTGGCCAGGCTGTCCTCGAACTCCTGGCCTCAAGTAATCTGCCCACCTCAGCCTCCCAAAGTGCTGGGATTACAGGCATGAACCACTGCACCAGGCCTTTTTGTTTTACTTTTTCTATTACTGATATAGCCACTTTGGCTTTCTTTTTTAAAAACCAGTAACATGGTCATTTATTATTACTATTATCAAGTATTATGTACTGTACATAATTGTATGTGCTATACTTTTATATGTCTGGCAATGCAGTGGGTTTGTTTAAACCAGCATCACTACAAACACATAAATAATGTGTTGTGCTATCATGTTACAATGGCTACGATGTCACTAAGTGATAGGGATTTTTCAGCTCCATTATAATCTTTATTTTTACTTCAGCTTTCCTATGGTTGCTGTTTGCGTTATATATATGTATATATATATTTTTTATCCTTTCTTTTGCTTTCAATCTATTTATATCTTTGAATCTAAAGTGTGCCTCCTGAAGACAGAATATAGGTTGGATCTTGTTCTTTGCATTTTTTAAAATCCAATCTGATAATCACTGCCTTTTGATAGGACTGTTGAATCCATTTGCATTTAATGTTATTATTGATATAGCTGGATTTAAATCTGCTATTTCACTTTTTGTTTTTATATCTTTCAAGTATGTTCACTCTTTTATTCTTCCTTTATTGCTTTCTTTTGCATCAAATGAATATTTTTCTAGGGTAATAATTTATATTTTAAAATTTTTCTTCTTTGCTCATTTATTCCAATATCAGAAAACCAGAGCCAAGACATTAATTTCCATCTGATTTTATATGCAGTCTTTAAAAGTGAGTGACTTTCTCTTTTCCCAAGGGCCTTAGCGTTTGCTAAATTTGCTGGCCTGATGGTAAGTAAGCATTATGATATAGTTTGGATGTTGTCCCTGCCCAAATTTCATGCTGAAATGTAATTCCACTGTTGGAGATGGGACCTGGTGGGAGGTGACTGGATCATAGTGGCAGTTTTCTCATGAATGGTTTAGTGCCATCCCCTTGGTACTGTGTTCATGATAGTGAGTTATCTTGAGATCTGGTCGTTTAAAAGTGTGTGACACCTTCCCCCTCTCTTTCTTGCTCTTGCTTTCGCCATGTTACGTGCCTACTCCTGCTTCACCTTCTGCCATGACTGTTAGCGATGCTTCCTATACACCCCACAGAACCGTGAGCCAGTTAAGCCTCTTTTATAAATTACCCAGGCTTAGATATTTCTTTATGACAATGCAAGAGAAGCCTAATACACATTACTAGCACAATGCTGGAACCCTGTAAGCCAAATAATAGGTACCAGATCAGTTTTCTGGGAAGGCTTTGTAGCCTTGCTTCTGCAAAGGAAGTACTACACTTATTCTTTAATGGTTATGTGATTATAGCTGATTAAATGAAATTTATTCTCAAATATAACTCTTTGGATGGCTTTGATTATATGATTGATTTTTTCAATACATCTTGGTAAAAAGGATGGCAGATTCGTTGAATCTGTTCAAATAATTACATAGCCAAGGATTCAGTAAAAATATTTACTCTCAAATTCTGATGGGCCAGTGGGAACAAGGTATCATTAAAAATATTTCATTTCAGTTTGCAATAAGCATAGTTTGTTAAAATGAGGGTTAGCAATAGATGAAGAAGAAAGGACTTCCTCTTACACTCATCAGAAAATGGGACATTAAAAACAATCTAACACTATTCCAAAACAAATAATCATGATTATATTTCCCTTGTTGGCTTATTAGGCTAATGTGATTCATTCTTGACTCACAAATCTTGGATCAGCAGTATACTTCCATGGTTTGTTGCTTCAGGACAAAAGAGTCCTAGCAATCCTGATTCAGTGCTGTGGTTCAGTCTATAGATGTCTACTTGTGGTCAGAAGTCAGCGAATACTGATAAGGCTGGGGCTGTAAGTCTATTCTAGCTAAGAGCATCTGATAAAATCTTTTCCACCAAGGCTCTGGGGCTGTCCTTTGTTGACCTCTTTAGCTTATAGCAGAGGTCTTTAGGCAAGCATGGAAGAAAAATAAAAACCACCTTTTGTTGATTAAATTTAAGGCTCTATTAATTTATTACAGTAAACAACTATATCAGAATAGGGGAGAATAAAATCTTCTACTGTGTTATGGATTTTGTCAGTGTATTCTCAAGGGTAATGGGGACAAGGACAAATCTACTTTAAAAAGTAACATAAGGAAGACAACTTATTTATTAAACATCATGTGGGCTTAATATATAATGAAATTCTAACAACATTATTGAGCCAATTAAGAAATATGAAGCAGGCTGGGCACAGTGGCTCATGCCTGTAATACCAGCACTTTGGGAGGCCGAGGAAGGCAGATCACCTGAGGTGAAGAGTTCAAGACCAGCCTGGCCAACATGGTGAAACCCTGTCTCTACTAAAAATATAAAAATTATATATAAATATATATATATATATATATATATATTTGTTTGTTTTGTTTTGTTTTTTGAGACAGAGTCTTGCTGTGTCATCCAGGCTAGAGTGCAGTGGCACGATCTCAGCTCACTGCAGCCTCTGCCTCCCAGGTTCAAGGAAGTCTCCTGCCTCAGCCTCCCGAGTAGCTGGGGTTACAGATGTGCACCACCACTCCCGGCTAATTTTTTGTATTTTTAAATAGAGACAGGGTTTCACTATGTTGGCCTGGCTGGTCTCGAACTCCTGGCCTCAAGAGATCCACCAGCCTCAGCCTCCCAAAGTGCTAGGATTACAGGCGTGAGTCACTGTGCTGACTCCTTTTGCATTTCTTTAAGTGGTAAAATAAAACATATACGTTAATATAATCCAAAGGTTTATCAACTCTCAAACATATAAAAATAAGAGGCAAAGGTGTGCAAATGGTGTTCAATACCATGCTTGGTGACCAATGTTTTTGTATTCTATCTTTCTTAGAAATTATCCAAGCAGCTAAGATTATTCACCAGTTTACTTGATTTAGTATCAATCTAAATTCTCAGTTAATTAAAGACCTTGGAAATTAAGTTGATATATTACAGAGTAACATAATCATTGATGATATAAACTATTTAGGAAATTCAGTTTAACTACAATCTCCATGATAAAACACTCTCCATCACTCTCTCATCATCTTGCTTTATGTTCTTCATGGTTTCGCAAACCGGTATCATCTTGCTTATTTATTTGCTTACTTATTTTTTGTGAATATTTTCCCAGTAGATGTAAGCACAATAAATAAAGATAATTTGTCTTCCTTAGTGCCTAGAACATGTAGGAGATATTCAATAAATAGCTTTGAATGAAGGAATACAGTAAGTCCTCACTCAGCCTCCTCAACAGGTTTTGGACACTTTGATTTTGAGTGAAACTATGTATAAGGAAACCAATTTTACCATAGACAAATGGACAGAAAGAAGAGTTAAGTTCCTACAGCATATTTCTGATAACAAAAGTACCACCAAACTTCTAAATAAAGACTAAAACACTTCCAATATTGAACACTGAAATAATTGTGAACCATACATACATTTAAGAAAGATTAGTAAAAACAAGGAAGAGAATTATTTACCTGCTTATTCCAGTTTAGAGTTCAGTGGCCAGAGCCTGTCCCGGCAGCTCAGGGCTCGAGGCAGTAACCAGCCCTGGACAGGACGCCATCACATCGCAGAGCAGACTCACCCACACCCACAATCGTTCACACTGGGACTACATAGACACAGCAGTTTGCCTAACATGCATATCTTCGGGATGTGGGAGGAAACTGACCGGGGTACCTGGAGAAAACCCAGGAAGACATGGGGAGGACATGCAAATGCCACACAGACGGTGATCCCAGCAGGGAAACAATTTTTTTTCCTCATCAACGTTATAACAGAAGGATGTTATTCAGGGGTCTGCTGTATATGAATAAAATATTTACTCATCATAATTGTACCAGATGTGAGGAATAGGTCTCATTTTACTATTTTATGGAGCTTGGGTGGGCTACTGGGTGACAGACTCGAAATACTGGTTTTCTGATTTCTAATACAATATGTCATATTATTCCCCAAAAGTAAATAAATATATTTGTACAAGTGAAAAATGAAAAGAAAATGTCTCGTGTAGATATGATTCTTAAAGAGGGTATTTGCTATGGATTGCATCCTAATGGGGGCCTCTTTAGGCAGTGGTTTGTTTGTTTGTTTGTTTGTTTGTTTTTTGGAGACAGAGTCCCACTCTATTGCCCAGGCTGGAGTGCAGTGGGGCAATTCGGCTCACTGCAGCCTCCGCTTCTGGGATTCAAGTGATTCTCCTGCCTCAGCCTCTCCAGTAGCTGGGATTACAGGCGCCCGCCACCACGCCTGGCTAATTTTTGTGTTTTTAGTAGATACAGGGTTTCACCATGTTGGCCAGGCTGGTTTCGAACTCCTGACCTCAGGTGATCTGCCCGCCTCGGCCTCCCAAAGTACTGGGATTACAGGCATGAGCCACTGCCCCTGGCCAAGGCCGTCTTTTGATGGCAGCCAATGTCATTAGACTACAACTTCTTCTGTACAAGTTCCCCAAAGTATCAGGGGCTCTCTAAGAGAGTATTACTTATTTCTTTCAGGTCCTGATGGTTTTCTCTTTGGAGTGGTTGTAATAGAGGACCAAGGAAGTTGTGAGCTGTTTTCTGGCTTTTGCTGTAACAAAAGCTTGTTGCTGAAATTGACTATTTCCCCCACTCCTGCATCCCAACACAGCATCCATTATTCTTCCCTTCAGTGCTCTCTTTGCAAAATCAGTCTAGCCTAGGCAGCAGACTTAACATGGTATGCTCCTGTGGGGATTCATACTTTATTTCTGGCTTGCTTTTAGGGTCCCAGGGCAAGTCGATATTAAAGAGATACTAATAAATTGCTAAATGGAAAGGGAGACTAGGACTCAGCTGGCTCCAGGCCTGAGCTTCTGCCTTGTCCCAGAGGGAAGCCAATGTTCACAGCAGGGCACATGGAGTTACCAGTTGTCCACCCAAAGGAACTCTCATCCCCTTCACTAACCAGGGAAAATGTCATATTAAGATTGTCCTCCTGTTGCAGTGAGCCGAGATCATGCCACTGCACTCCAGCCTGGGCGACAGAGCGAGACTCCGTCTCAAAAAAAAAAAAAAAAAAAAAAAAGATTGTCCTCCTTCAATCTTTTTTTACTATTAAATGAGAGCTTTGTATTAAACTATTCAGAATTGGGTTGTCCTTGTTTTTAGGTTCCCACACTATCTCTTTTGAATAAAACATGTTGTTGGGTGACAGCCCTTAGGGTTTTTCTCAAATCATTTCTCATGTGAATCCCCTTCATCCTCACTGTCCTTCCCTTAAGAAACTGGCGTGTGATAATGATGATTTAGAGGTCATTTCTGCTGACCTCATCCCTGAATCAGAGGAAACAGCATGGAGTAAGTTCTAAGTTCGGGGCCCACACCATATCAAATTTAGGCCTGGGGAAGGCAGTATGGCTCTTTCCAAACCCTCCAAAACACTACTGGGCTCCAAGACTGCTCAAGGTCTCACTGATAGTCAAGGCTTGTGCTCCTTTTTTTCAGAAGAGTAAGATTAAAGAAAACCACTGTGAATTAAAAAGTGTGGGTGCCAACATGGGACGGGAGTCCCCCCTCACTCCATGGATGACATAGAGGGGGCAGAAGATTACAGAATTGGCATTGTCCTGCGTGGAAGCTGGGCCACCCACAGTGGCGTGGGAAGCCTCTCAGATGCTGGATTCTAATGGGCTCTTGATCACCTTGGATTGGGCTATTTCATTGTTATCACAAAATAAACAGGATGCTCCAAGTCATGTTATGGCAGAGAACCAACCAGCTTCACACTGGTCCTCTAAACCAATCCTCACAACAGGACTGGGAGACAGGTGTTACCTTTCCCACTTTACAGAGAATGAAACAGAGTGGCAAAGCCTCCGAAGGACCCTACACTTCGGACATC
This sequence comes from Homo sapiens, assembly GCF_000001405.40. Classification (NCBI taxonomy): domain Eukaryota; kingdom Metazoa; phylum Chordata; class Mammalia; order Primates; family Hominidae; genus Homo; species Homo sapiens. Next base: position 150,778,410 of record NC_000005.10, read on the forward strand.
GCAAAGCAGGATCTGAGTCCCGGCTCCTCTGTCCAAACCTACTTGCTAGGCTTTCTTTCCCATGTCTACTCTATAGCTGGAAAGGTCGTGGAGGACACATTTTAGGCCAACCCTCTCGGTTTACAATCCAGAGAGGGGAGACCCTCAGAAGCCAAGCGACATGTCCACGGCTACGCGGCGAGTGTGTGGCAACGTGGAAGGGGAGCCCGAGACGCCCTGGTCTCTCCCTTCTCTCGCAGGTTCCTTTCTCCCCGAACGCAGCCCGCAGGGGACGCTGGAGGAGGAGCTGAGCTGGAGTTGCCGGGGCCCCGGGACCGGGCGTTCCGGGGGCGGTCCCCAGCAGCCGCGCATTCCAGAGCCAGCAGCGCGTCCTGGCCGCTCCTGCGCTCTCCCGCCTCCCGGGGCTCGGAGGAGCCGGGGCACGTTCCAGGAGCTGCCTAGGGCTGAGGTTCCAGGCCTGGGGGTCGCTTCCAGCTGCCAGATCCCGTGCAGTCCTGGGGACCCTGAGAAGCACCGAGCCATCCCTGACCCAGGAACTTTCCGCAGACTCGCCGCCATCTGGGGTGAGTGGGGCCACCGGGGGATTGTTTGTGGGGCTCTGGCAGAGCGGAGCTCTTCGGATTCGCGACCTACCTCTAGTGCGGCCCCTTTCCCCGGGCTCCCAACGTTCTTCTTTATGTCCGGTCTCTCCTCCCCATTTCTCCCTTTTCATCACTTTTGTATTTCTTGCCCTCACCCCCTCCTTTTTCTCCTGCTGTCAGCTCTTAAGTTCGAGCCTCCTAGTGCACAGAATTTTGGGCCTGGGGGAGGCGGAGCTTGGGTGGGCGAACCCCAGCCCCACTCGGAGACTGGCTTCTCTCCGGGTCCGCTGCCCTTGCCTTCTCGGGAAGCCTCCTCCTCGGGCAGACTGCCACCTCCTGGCTCTCCAGGCCCAGCGTCAGGGTTCAGCGCCCGGGCCTGAGCACCTGCTTGGGCGCTGCGCTGGGTTTGGGTCTTTGCACTTACCTGTCCCGCTTTTCTCGAGGCCCCGTGTAGAAGGCGCCAGGAGTTTGGAGTCAGGAGTGGCGGGTTCCAGCCCTGGTTCTGTCACTAACTGCTTCACCATCCTTGTTTTTCCATCAGTGAAATTGGGAAAACATTTTCTGCGTGCAGAAAGCAAAGGAGAAAGGACATGAGCAAAGTATCTTGGAGAGAAGGCTTCCTTCAAGCTCCCTCCTGCTGGTTAGCTGTCCCTTTCCTGAGGACGTAGTTGTTCCAGTTGCTGGTTGTTTTGCTCCCTAGTCTCCCCCATGCCAGTTTCTTGAGGGTAGGGACTGCCTGTCTATCGTCATCTCTGAGGCATTCTCAGCTCTTGGAGCAGGGCCTGGCTAACAGTAGGTGCTCCATACATATGTACTGAGTGAAAGGATGAAAGGTGTAACCCCCCCCGCCCCCCCCACAAATTGAAACAAACCTCAGGGGCTGTTATTCTGATTGAGGGCCAGGCTGGGCTCTTACTTATGCAGCTGCACTTGTTTCTTCTGGACCAGCTGGAATCCTGCTGCACCTGGGGGCTGAGGAGTCTCCGGTTCATCTGTGGTGAATACTAAGGTCCTCAAAGCTCCAGGGTGTGGTGGTGAAGGCTGCGCAATCACACAAGTATCAGAGATTCCTTGAACATCTGCTATGATGCGTGCTGCTACTGCAGTGGCCACATAGTTTGGAAGGATTGGGGATGCCTGAATTAGGTGGAGGTGGGAGCGGGAAGAACAGGTACTCTGGGGGTTAGGAGACCCTCTGAATTACCCTAATGGAGGCATTTCCCCTCTCTGGCCCTTGTCTTCCCTATCTGTAAAATGAAGACATGGGAGTGGAACAGATGTTTGTCTGTGGTTGAGCATGACATGCTCTTTGGTTTATGCAGGCCGCACAGCAGCCATCTAGACACACGCAAAGCAGCACAGCTGAGCTTTAGGACATCATGTGCTTCTGCAGTGACAACTGAAAAAAACTAAAAAGTGTTTTCCTGCTCCAGCCGGGACCTCCTGTTCCCAGCTGTCCTGGGACTGTGAATCATGCTGTGGGGGTTACAAGTCATGCTTCATGAACTCTCCCACAAGTGACCTCTCCGAACCTCAGAACTGTGGCTCCATGACACTAAAGATCTGGGGAGTCCCAGAGAACAGCCAGAGAACCACTGAGTCGCGGTGAGGTGTTAGAGATGCAAAACAAATGAGAGACTCTGGGGGCCTGTGGTCAGGTCAGATCCTGGGCCCTTGGGGGTGACAGACCAAGGGGATAAGGGCCAGTCACAGCCTCAGATGCTTTCTCAGCCATACGCCAATCCTTTAAACGTTGTGCCTCCATTTCTTCTCTATGGATTGAAACATGCAAAGGAAATACCTCCAAGGAAAGAGAATATCTTGGTTGGGTGTGGCGGTGGTATAAAAAATGGGCACGTGTACTCACAAACACAGTTTATTGAGGTATAGGAGTAAGTGTTGGCATTGCGACACCCTGCCTTGTCCTCCCCCACCCTGACTGGCCCAGTAAGCGGAATGATGTTATAATGATCATACTTGCCATTTACTGAGTACTTACTATAAGCTAGGCATGACTCTAAGCATTTTACTTGTATTAACTCATTTAGGCTTTACCACAATCCTATTAGGGAGGGACTGTCATCACCTCCATTTTATGGATGAGGAAACTGAGGTCCAGAGAGAGTGACTCACCCATGATCACACAGAAAGTAAGTGGCAGAGCTGTAATTTGAACGCAGGCACCCTGGCTCCAGGGCCTATTCTCTGAACTTCATTGGAATTGGGGGGAACTAGGTTCAGATCTTGCCTCTGTCACTTACTTTCAGGGTGACCTGAGAGAAGTTAAGTGAGAATTTGATAGTCACTGTTCTAGTGGATCCCTAGAGACCTAGTATCCTTCCAACTCACTAGGGAAACAGAAGGTGAACCTCAAGAGATAATGGAGACATCTAGCAGTAAAGGCTAAGAATTAGGTAGTTAGGAAGGGGAACTGCTCAGAAGTATAATTGCCTGGCACATTAAACAACAGCAAGCTAGATTCCACGTCTAAACCATATACTTTAAATTGCTTAGTTGTGTATAGATAGAGCTTCCTTATTTTATTGATTTGCACTCTGATTGGCTGATTGGATATGTTTCTTGCTAGTGACCCACTATATAGGATCATATTCAAGATTCTGGGGACCAGGACATAGATGTCTTTGGTGGTGGTGGTGGTGGGCATTATTCTGCTTTCCACACACATGAGGCTGACTTTGGGAGAGCGACCTGTTGAGGCTCACACATTGAGGCAAGGCACTACCACCGCCCGGTGCTCTTGCAGCTCTGTCACGGAGCACCCTGCCAGCACCTCTCATGGACAGTCTCCTTTGTTAGCCCGACACACAGCAGGCACTTAGTCACTGGCAAATAGCAATGATGGATAGTAGTGCCTTAAACAGGATGCTGGGGATTTGGCCTGGGCTTTCTCCTCTGCTAGCTCTCTGTTGGTTTCTAAGACTCTGTGATTGGCTGGGTCAGATGGTACGTGCGGTCTTACACAGCTCTGGCTGTGTTCCGATCTCTTTGAAATATCTTGGTGTTTTTCCATTTTTCCAGCCACAGAGGAGCAGATGGAAACTCAGGCAGGTCTGTAGTCTGTTAGGAAGTTTGGAGAGACAGGGGCCAGTTGGGGTGAAATGAGAACAGAGTGCTCCTTAGGGACTTTGGGTCATTGGAGAAAAGGCTGTGATTTGATTCATTTCACATTTTTGGTAGTTGTATGTCCTGTCCATTCCTTCCTCTGGCCCCTTTATTTGGACCAAAGGTCCCTGGTGAAATGACTGTGCTGGGTTGGTAAATGTTTGAGGCTGTTACACAGTGGGAGGAGAAATACTTCCAAGAGTAAATGTGAAGCTGGTATGTCCTTCTCATATTGGACTTGGCATGGGAAACCTGCCCCCACTTTTATCAGCCTCCCTGACCTCTTCTAAGAACAGAAAGATTCACATCTTGGGCAACATCACTGCTCCCCTCACCCCTGGTCCCTCCTCCCCACCTCAGTCCCCAGCTCCTGAGCACATGGAGTCAGAACTCGAATTTGAGCTTATCGGCCCAAGCAAATCAACAAGTGGGAATCCTAGAGGGCTTCGTTCTGAAAGGCCAGTTCTCTTCTGCCTGGTATGTACAGGGTGGGCTGGGGAAGAAAGAGCCCCCCATAATCCTTCCTGAATGTACAAAGAGCCCAGAAAATGATAAAATCAGAGGACATCATGTTATTTTGGAGATAGTGTTCTGACTTTTAGAATCACTGGGACTTTTGCAGGGATGAGGATTCTTTCTGGACCTCTTCAGTCAATTAGGTTCCACGAGTGAGCTCACATCTGAAATAATCTTCCCATATTCATTTCTTCATTGATTTCATATTTGTTGGCACTTGTGATATGCCAGGCCCTGTGATAGGTGCTGAGGACACAGCAATACACAAGAGGTGAGGCTTCTGCTCTCCCTGTGCTTGCGTTTGAGGGAGCAAATGAACAAGTCTTTAGCCTGATAGGAAAAAAGCCAATAAAAACAAACAAGCAACAAACAAGCTAATTTTAGATTGTGAAAAGCATATGCAGAAAATAAAACAAGATAAGAGTGATAGTTTAACAGAGTGGGTCGGGAAAAACTTTACTAAAACGTAACATTTAGGTTGAGGTCATGGACATTGAGACAATGGACAGGGGAGGAAAAGAGCATTCTGAGAAGGAACAGCAAACACAAAGTTCTTCAAGTGGGATCAGCCCCTGGGACACAGTTGTTAGGTTCCCCAGGCTACAAAGTGGCCAGTGTGGCCCCATCTAGGAACTTGAATTGCCCTCTCTGGCTTAAATGTTCCATTCTTCCTTGACAACCTCAGCAGCATCTTCTGAGGGTGGAGACTTTTTGGAAGGGGTCCTATAAGGTGGACAATGCTGGCAAACCCTCTAGTCCTGTGCCCTGGGAACCATCAGCCTTGTTCACATTCTGCAAAATACTTGAAGAGTCATGTATCTTTGGACGCCTCAGCATCAGTGACTTGGAGCTGGTTATAGCTGTCTGCTCTCTGGCCACCGTGGCTGGTGGAAACAAAACAGCAGCAGCATGGTCTGCCCAGAGTTCTGGCAGTGCTGGGCTAAGGCCACACCTGCAGGAAGCCACCTGCCTCTATCTGCCTTGTCTCCCACTTTGAGATAATTAAGCTTGCCTGCCAGCAGGCAGTCACTTCTTTTATTGCCTTCTTCCTCAGTGAACTCTGGCAGTAAAACCGGTTGGATAACCATTGGCAAGCTCTCAAAAGTTGACTGTTAGTTGCAGCTCGGATGTGGAGGGTGTAAGTTTCCGGTGGGAGGTTCAAGCTGGGGACAGCTTAAAATTTTTTTACTTAAAAAAACTTTTCACTGTGGTTTCCTACATTGGGCCCAGATCAGTCACGAAGCAGTCACGGCACCCTAACTAATGGCAGAGGCTTTGAACTCCCTTTTTTTTTTTTTTTTTTTTTTTGATACGGAATCTCACTCTGTCACCAGGCTGGAGAGCAGTGGTGTGATCTTGGCTAACTGCAACCTCCACCTCCTGGGTTCAAGCGATTTTCCTGCCTCAGCCTCCCGAGTAGCTGGGACTACAGGTGTGCACTACCACACCCAGCTAATTTTTGTACTTTTAGTAGAGGCAGGGTTTTACCATGTTGGCCAGGATGGTCTCCATCTCTTGACCTTGTGATTTAGGAACGATGCCGGGTTCACTAGCTCAGCTTAACTTCGTGAAGCCCTTACTGTGTACCAGACGTTGTCCTAAGTGCTTTATGCGCATTAGCTCATTTAACCTCCAGAGCATCCCTATGAAGTGGTTACAATTATTAGTTATTATTTCCATTTTACAAATTAGGAGACTAAAGCTCAAAGAGGTTAAACCTCTTGCCAAAGCCACCAGGACTCCATATGCTTCCAACACTTCATGTATCTCATCAACTCTGGGCTTTGTTGATAACATCTATTCTGCTCATCCTGCCTTTCCCCACAAGATCTGAGAGAGACATCTTGAAATCTCCCACTATAATTGCAGATTTGTCTATTTCTCCTTATAATTCTGAGATTAGGTACCTAAAAATAGAAAATCACTTTACCTTTTTGGTATCTTTAGTAATACTTTCTGCCTAAAAGTCTACTTGGCCTTATACTAGTAAGGGACTACCAGCGTATGTGATTCATGGTTACACGGTGTTTCATTTGTATCCTTTGACTTTTTAACCCTTCCAATCCCCATGTGTCTCTTATAAAAAATATATATGTATGTGTATATTTTATCCTTATTTATATGTACCCTAACGGTCCTTGTTAGTTTGGGTTTAAATCTACCATCTTTCTCTGTGCTTTCTATTTGTCCCCTTTATTCTAAGTATTTGTTGTTGTTTTTCTCCTCTCCTGTTTTCCGCTGGAAATTATGCACTCTTTGACTGATATTTTTAGTGGCTACCATAGAGGTTACAATATGCATCCTTGATTTAACAAAGTCTAATATGATTTGGTTCTTCTGCCCTTTCTTAGGCAATACAAGAAAATCAAAATACTTTAATTCTATTTCTTCCAGAATTTGTTTGTTATTGCTCTTGAATACTTTAATTCTGTATTTTTTTTTTCTGAAAATGTCTTTTTTTTTTTTTTTTTTTTTTGAGATGGAGTCTCGCGTTGTTGCCCAGGCTGGAGTGCAGTGGCACAATCTTGGTTCACTGCAACCTCTGCCTCCCAGGTTCAAGCGATTCTCTTGCCTCAGTCTCCCGAGTAGCTGGGATTACAGACGTGTGCCACCATACCTGGCTAATTTTTGTATTTTTAGTAGAGACAGGTTTCACCATGTTGGCTAGACTTGTCTTGAACTTTTGACCTCAAATGATCTGCCTGCCTTGGCCTCTCAAAGTGCTGGGATTACAGGTGTGAGCCACCGCACCTAGCCTGAAAATGTCTTATTGCACCATTATTCTTGGCAGTTATTTCTGTTCACCTCTTTGAAGAGATCATTCTGCTGTTTTTAAATTCCATTGTTTCTGTTGAGAAGTTGGTTGTCAATCTAACTGTTTCTCTTTTAAAGATATTCTGTCTTATTTCTCTTTATCTTTGGATCTCAGCAGATTTACTATATTTCTTTTCTTTTTTTTTTTTTTTTTTTTGAAATGGAGTCTCACTCTGTTGCTCAGGCTGGAGCGCAGTGGTGCCATCTTGGCACACTGCAACCCCCATCTCCTGGGTTCAAATGATTCTCCTGCTTTAGCTTCCCAAGTAGCTGGGACTACAGACGTGTGCCACAACGCCTGGCTAATTTTTGTATTTTTAGTAGAGACAGGGTTTCACCATGTTGGCCAGGCTGGTCTCAAACTCCTGACCTCAAATGATCTGCCCACCTCAGCCTCCCAAAGTGCTGGGATTACAGGCATGAGTCACTGTACCTGGCCAGATTTACTATATTTCTAATTATGGATTCCAATTTATGTATTCTGCTAGGAGTTCATGGGACATCTTTAGTATGCAAATTGGTGTCTTTCATCAGTTTTGGAAACTTCTGTTATTATTTACTCCAATATTGTTCTGCTTCATTCTTTCTTTTCTCCTTCTGATACTCCAGTATATTTATGTTGTACCTTGTCACTGTTTCCTCTATCTCTCTTACCTATTTCTTTTTCTGTATTTTCCATCCTTTTGTTTATCCTTACTTCATTCTAAGTATTTTCCCCTGATCTTTTTTCCAGTTTACTAATTCTCTCTTTTACTATGGCTAATCTACTGAATTTTTAAGCCTATCTACTGAATTTTAAATTTCTATTATATTTTTCAGTTTTAGAATTTTTATTTGGTTCTCTTTGTTGTTGTTGTTTTTCGAGACAGGGTCTCACTCTGTCACCCAGACTGGAGTGCAGTGGCCCAGTCATGGCTCACTGTAGCCCTAGCCTCCTGGGCTCAAGTGATCCTCCCACCTCAGCCTCCTGAGTAGCTGGGACTACAGGTGCACACCATGCCCATCTAATTTTAAAATTTTTTTTGTGGAGATGGGATTTTGCCATGTTGCTTAGGCTGATCTTGAATTCCTGAGCTCAAGTGATCCACCTGCCTTTCCCTCCAAAAGTGCTGAGATCACAGGTGTGAGCCACCACTTGTAACCTCTATTTGATTCTTTTAAAAAAATCTGTTTATTCTTTCTTATAATTTCAAATTCTCTGTCAAAATTCTCAAACTTGGAGTTTTTTCCTCCTTGAACATAGTAAGCTAAGTTATTTGAACTATGTGTCTGTCTGATGACTCCAATATCTGGAGCCCCGGTAGACTTTTTTTTCTATTGTCTGTTGTTTCTGATTATTTTGTTTTTATCATCCTGTCTTTTTGCATTCTTGATTAATTTTGGTTATGTGTTGGACATTATATTTGTAAACAAAACATAATTTGAGACCTATCATGATGATATTGCCTCCAGAGAGGATGTATATTTGCTTCTACCAAGCACCTGGAGATTCCTTAATTTAATTTCAGGAGCTATGATAATGCAAAGCTGAGTTGTAGTCTCTGGGAGGACTAGTATACTTCCAGTTCATCTTTAGCACTAAGGGTGCTTTTTAAGGTCCAAGCTCAAAGTGCAGAAGTTTTACTCTCCCTCTCTTGGCAGTCTTGGACTCCAACTTTTGTCCCCTTAGTCTCCTGAGTCAGTACTGCTCAGTCTCCATTCTCCGGTAGGGGAAAATGACAGGCTCTCCTCCCTGGATTTTTGCCTTCTCCCAGAAAAGTGGGACCAAAAAAACCTAAATGAAGCTTAGAGTCCTGCTTTTTCTCAAGCAATGAAGACTGGTAATTCTTCATTATTTCATTAGCTCTTAGTGCCTTCCATCAGGTTTTTTTGGTCCCACTTTTCTAGCTGTCTTCAGTAAAAGGACTAGTCCAAATTGTCTAGTTCACCATTACCAGAATCGGAAGTCCTGATCTTTATAGATTGCGTATCTCTTCTTAATTCTCTAAATATGGAATGGCCTTCAGCTGAAAACAGTGTTTGACCTGGACTTAGAAGAAAGCTGTGGGTCTGGTATACTCCATGCTTATACATTGGGTCTGTGTGGACTCTTTGGAGGTAGCTGTAGTGTAGTGGTAAGTAAGTGCAGAATCAGGATTCCTGAGTATGAATCCTGTTCACTTAGCTTTATGATCAATGGCTGGCTAACCTCTCTCAGTTTTAGTTTTTATAGCTGTAAAATCCCCACATAGGATTTTTGTGAAGTTTTAATAAGTTAATGAATGGGATTTGTTAAGCAAATACAAATAGTACAAATTTGTGAAATAAAACAATTTATTTTTGTTTTTACAAATTTAAACAAATACAATTTGTTAAGCAAATGCTGGCTCGTGTGATCCTGTGTTTGAGGAAATAAGGGAAGTGGTATTTCACTTCCCTGTGCTTCTTGAAGCACAGAGTCATAAGGAGTAAGTAATAGTAAGTCCTGAGAGAGTATCTTGCAAATACCAAGTACTTGACATATGAATAAATGAATGAATATCCTGGACAGAGTTACTTATCATGATAATACTGAACCAAAAATAAAAACAGTATTGTCCTGTCAGAGAGGAAAAAGTTGCTTGCTAGAGAGTCTGACGAGTAGATAACACAGGCTTGTTGCCTTGAATCCAGTTACCCTAAAACTATCAACTTGTAGGAAATTTTAATTTATGAAATTTATATAATTTTTATATAACTAGAAAACTTGCCAAATGGTGGGATTGGCCGAAACAATGATTCTTTCTTTTGCAAAAAGAACTTTTAATTGCTTAAGAAAAGTGGTCCCAGAAGTAAAATTTGATGTTTCCTAATCAGGCAGTAGGGCTTCCCTTTGCCTGCCTAAACTGGATCAAGTGGAGTACTTAAAAGAGGGGATGAATTTTTACCTTTGGAAAAGTAAAATTTGACCAGGTGCGGTCACTCTCCTTTGGGAAACTGAGGTGGGCGGATCACTTGAGGCCAGGAGTTCAAGACCAGACTGGGCAACATGGCAAAACCTTATCTCTACAAAAAATACAAAAATTAGCCAGGTGTGGTGGCGCACACCTGTAGTCCCAGCTACTCAAGAGGCTGAGGCACAGGTTTGCTTGAACCTGGGAGGTACAGGATGCAGTGAGCTGAGATCACGCCACTGCACTCCAGCCTGGGCAACTGAGCGAGACTGTGTCTCAAAAAAAAAAAAAAAAGAAAAAAAAGAAAAAAGTTTTTTTCCTCTTTCGTAGAAACTACATTGCTTTTCCCCCCACCTTATATTTGGTCTTGTTAGTGGACACAAAATAGTCATTTTGGGATTGTTGACTTTTCCATTGAATTGGCTAAGTTACTTAACCCCTATGGACTGAGGAGGAGCAATGATGTGTCCAGTTCACAGGGCTGGTGGTATAGGGCCTGTGATCTGATGGGATGGCATGTTTGGTGCTAGTGGCTTTTCTGCTGGTGAGCTCAGGGTGGTTTCCGTGCAGTTTCTTAGACAAACTTATATTGAACATATGTCAAAGTTTATTATTTGTTAAGGAGGCAAATAGCAGATAAAGTATGCTGGTTCAAAATAATGAGAGTTTAGACCTGATTGATGTTTTACTTCCTATGGTTATAAAAACATCATATTCTTATCAGTGATAGGCATAAATTTGTGACATAAATGGTTTGGGCCATATCCAACATGAACCATTAATAAGAAATATCAAGCAATATATCTGTGAGGCAAATGATAAATTAATCTATGACTATTATATTAGACATACCAAGAAACAAGGTTTTATGCACTCATGACAGAGAGGTCAAATAGAAGTCAGCTAGGAGAAGCTTAGAGTCCTGCTTTTTCTCAAGCAAATATTTCTAGTGTGCAATTAAAGATGCTGAAGATATGGTTTGCTTAGCTCTTATTTGGGAGACAAAATTTTTCTTTGACAGTAGGGAGAGGTGGAAGCGACTGGAACCCATGTTACATGGGGAAGAACAGTGCAGCAAAGGACACGTTTGAGTTTCGAGAAGAGTGAAACAGGGAGATAGAGCTCCCTGTGCCCTCTGACACCCGACTACTTCTATGGCCAGCCTTAGAATCTTGGAACAGTAGCTCTGGAAGGGCCCTTGGAGAACATTGCAACTTGTGGCTTTCACACTATGTTCTGAGGAGCCCAGGGGGTCGAGGGGAAACTGAATAGTAGCACTGCCCTACCAAGTAAGCCCGCTGCACTGAGCAGGCATGCCAAAGGACAGCTGGGAAAAGTTTTTTCCAATTTTTTCAGTTAGAAGAAAGAACCGACTTTAATTTCGTAACATGCAAAGTTTGTGTGTTATGGTGTAGTATTATTTTTAGTTTGAATTGCATATGTGAAGGGGGTGGGCACCCTCATCTCTAGTGCTTAGGGTCTCTGAGGATAATGTATTCAGCTCTGCTGGGTAGGTAGGACTGCACGCTTCCCCTGCCAGGCCCCCACTTTCCAGGCTCTACTAGAGCAGCCTTACTTTAGCTGTTGGGTATTGGGGTTAGAATAACAATTTCATTTGCAAAAGAGTAATATTAGTACAGTCTAGGATACAGGTTACAGAAGAATTTCATTTATTCATCTACTTGTTCTGTTTTGTTTTAGTTAGGGGCAGCGACACGATCAGATCTATGTATTTGAATGATTATTCCCTTAAGGAGTAAGACTGCAGGAGGGAGAAGACCCCCTGGACCTCAGTTTCACCATCTGTGAAATGGCACTCATTCTAGCTTTAATGTTCCAGGATTCTTGATTGTGGATGAGCCCCGAAGCCTGAGTTCCTGTATCTTACAGGCTTTGCTTATGAAAATCAGCCAGGGTGATTACGTCTTCCTGGCATTTGAAGTCAGGAAGACTGTTTGATGTTAAAGGGTTTACAGGAAAGGACTCTTGTGGGGTTCCTTTAGTCTAAGGCAGCTAGCTGTTGATGTAGTCAGGAGACCACAAAGAATGATTTATCCCGCCCCCGGTCCTCTAACAGTTTCAGTCTCCTGTGACTCATGCTTCTGTGTCTTAGACCTTGGGGAAAGTTACTCCATTTCCTAGGCTGAGACAGGGCCAGCCTGTGCTTCTGTCTCCTCTGCAAGCTCGGCAGATAATCCTATGGCCCTGGGGAGCTTTGTCAGAGGCTTCTCCTTCATCTGGGAACTTGCCCAGATCTGCCCAGCCTGGCTGCAGAGCACCTGGGAATCAATTCCCAAATCTTAATGCCAGAAAAGGCCTTAGGGGTCTTAAAGATTTGTTGAGTCCAGAGGTTCCCAAATCTGGCTGCACGTTGGAATCACCTGGACAATGGGAAAAAAGGGCTCCTCCTCATCCCCTTTGAGTCTAATTCAGTATGTATGGATTGAGACCCAGAAATCAGTGTTCTTTTATACTGTCTTAAGGTCACTTACCATGGTATGTGGCATTTGGTGACTGCTGATCTAGTCTCATCTCTTAATTTTATTTGATTTTAAAATTGTATATGTGTGTTTTTACTTTTTAAGATGGAGAATTATTAAGACAAAAACAAAAAAAAAGCCTCTTTGCCCCCTTAACCCAGTTGGCATAAAAAATTAGAAGTAATAAATGCTCATGTTGAGAAAATTCAAACGGCATAAAATCATGTTTTATGAATGAAGAATGAAAAGCAAAACCTCTTATTCCTAGTCCAGCTCCCGAAAAGGTAACCACTATTAACACTTTCTTGAGAGTACACTCAGAAAGTAATTTTCCTGTATATATCCTCGCCTATTTCCCTACTTAATTCTACAAAATCTGAACCAAAGGAATCATCCTATACACAAGTGTTCTGCACTTTATTTTTATTTTTTCCACTTAAAACTTTTGGAGTTCACTACAGATCAGATTCCTCTTAAATGACTAATAAATAAATTAATTTTTTTATCTCAGTACTTATTTATTCCTCCTGCCTAACTGAAACATAATACCCTTTGACCAGTATCTCCCCATTCCCCCGACCTTCCAGCCTCTGGTGACCACCAGAGGCTTTGCTTTCTGCTTCTATGGGTCTGATATTTTTAGCTTCCATATATAAATGAGAACTTGAGATATTTGTCTTTCTGTGCCTGGCTTATATCCTTTAGCATAATGTCCTCATGTTCATCTATGTTGTCACAAATGGCACTAATTTCCTTCTTTTCTAAGACTAAATAATATTCCATTGAGTATATGCCACATTATCTCTATCCATTCATGGTTAATAGACACTTAGGTTTATTCCATAACTTGGCTCTTGTGAATAATGCTGAAATAAACATGGGAGTGCAGAAATCTCTTTGACATACTGATTTCAAATCCTTTGGTTATATGCCCAGAAGTGAGATTACTGAGATCATATAGTGACTCTATTTTCAATTATTTGAGGAACCTCCATTCTGTTTTTCATAGTAGCTGTATTAATTAAGTAAATTAATATTTGTAATGCATTTGGAACAATGATTGATGTGGAGTAAGTACTATATACTTGTTAAATGAATGAATGAATGGGTGAGTGAATGAATACATGAAAATTGTTGCATGGCATCCCATTATACAGATATACCCTTCTTTATTTTACTATTAGTGGACACTTGTTGTGTCTGTTGCCTTAACAAATAATGCAGAAAGTAACATCCTTGTATGTATTTCTTGGGTACTCTCCTTTGGGTATGGTGATCAATACCTTACTTAGGGTGGCAACAGTGGACATGGAGCCAAGGGCATTAGAAAGGAAAAGTTAGTGATTAGATAAGAATAGGAAATAGGATTGCAATTAGGAATTTTGCTTGGAACCTAGAATCACAGAATTATCGACCTTACATTTGAAAGGACCTGCAGGAGATAGTTCCAGCCTTGTGCCCTCTGGGCAGGGAATGTATTATATCGATGGTTCCCAAGCTGAGCACTGAAGTGTCCTGGGAGCCCCAGTGAACTCACTAGAAGGAGGGGAGTGCTGCAGGATGTTTAAGATTTTTGACAGAAGTAGTGATATTTGACAACATCTCTCAGACACTTTACAAATGATTAGCTTAAGATAGTTCACAGTTTAACACTAATCTTACTACATGCCTTTTGTTAATGTTATAATTTATGAAGTTGATTAAAAAAATTATTTTTGAGATAGGGTCTTGCTCTGTCACCCAGGCTGGAGTGCAGTGGTGTGATCATGGCTCACTGTAGCCTGGACCTCCTGGGCTCAAGCAATCCTTCCACCTCAGCCTCCCAAGTAGCTGGGACTACAGATATAAGCCACCATGCCAATCTAATTAGCATTAAATTAGATTAAATTAGAATTAAAATCTCACTATATTGCTCAGGCTGGTCTTGAACTCCTAGGCTCAAGCAATCCTTCCACCTTGGATTCCCAAAGTGTTGGGGTTATAGGCGTGAGCCATTGCACCCAGCCTGAAGTTGATTTTTTGGTGGTTGCATGGTATGGCAAGTACTGGGCAAAAATTAATGTGAAATAATAAGTGAGGATGGCATTGTCCAATATTATTCCAAAGTTTGAAAAGTTACACAGTGTCCAGCAGGTGCATATATTCCATTAGTAACTAGTTAAGAATGAAATAAAAACTGTTTTTTTCAATTTGCGTGTATTTTTTTTTTTCAAACAGCTACTAAGTTGTTAGGCCATAAATACATATTAAGTTGTTTGATTGTGTCATCTATGATTTCTTTCAGCAGCGTTTTGTAGTTTTCCTTGTACAAAACACTGCTAAAAAGAAATCATAGATGATACAAACAAATGGAAACACATTCCATGCTCATGGATGGGTAGAATAAGTATTGTGAAAATAACCATACTGCCAAAAGCAATCTACAAATTCAACGCAATCCCCATCAGAATACCACCATCATTCCTCACAGAATTAGAAAAAACAATTCCAAAATTCATATGGAACCAAAAAAGAGCCTGCATAGTCAAGGCAAGACTAAGCAAAAAGAACAAATCTGAAGGCATCACACTACCTGATTTCAAACTACACTATGAGGCCATAGTCACCAAAATAGTATGGTACTGGTATAAAAATAGGCACATAGACTAATGGAACAGAACAGAGAACCCAGAAATAAACCCAAATACTTACAGCAAACTGACCTTCAACAAAGCAAACAAAAACATGCAATGGGGAAGTGACACCCTTTTCAACAAATGGTGCTGGGATAATTGGCTAGTCACATGTAGCAGAACGAAACTGGATCCTCATCTCTCACCTCATACAAAAATCAACTCAAGATGGATTAAGGACTTAACTCTATGACCTGAAACTATAAAAATTCTAGAAGATAACTTTGGAAAAATCCTTCTAGACATTGGCTTAGGCAAGGATTTCATGACCAAGAACCCATAAGCAAATGCAATAAAACAAAGATAAATAGCTGGAACCTAATTAAACTAAAGAGCTTTTTCATGGCAAAAGGAACAGTCGGCAGAGTAAACAGACAACCCACAGAGTGGAGAAAATCTTCACAATCTATACATCTGACAAAGGACTAATATCCAGAATCTACAACGAACTCAAACAAATCAGTAAGAAAAAACCAAAGAATCCCATCAAAAAGTGGGCTAAGGACATGAACAGACAATTCTCAAAAGAAGATGTACAAATGGTCAAAAACATATGAAAAAATGATCAACATCACTAATGATCAGGGAAATGCAAATCAAAACCACAATGCGATACCACCTTAATCCTGCAAGAATGGCCATAATAAAAAGAAAATCAGAAAACAGTAAATGCTCGTGTGGATGTGGTGAACAGGGAACACTTCTACACTGCTGGTGGGAGTGTAAACTAGTACAGCCACTATAGAAAACAGTGTGGAGATTCCTTAAATAACTAAAAGTAGGACTACCTTTTGATCCAGCAGTCCCACTACTGGGTATCTACCCAGAGGAAGTCATTATTCGAAAAAATACTTGCACATACATGTTTATAGCAGCACAATTCACAATTGCAAAATCATGGAACAAACCCAAATGCCCATCAATCAACAAGTGGATAAAGAAACTGTGAGATATACACATGATGGAATACTACGTAGCCATAAAAAGGAATGAATTAACAGCATTTGCAGTGACCTGGATGAGATTGGAGTCTATTATTCTAAGTGATGTAACTCAGGAATGGAACACCAAACATCGTATGTTCTCACTGATATGTGGGAGCTAAGCTATGAGGACGCAAAGGCATAAGAATGATAATTTGGACTTTGGTGACTTGGGGGGAAGAGTGGGAGAGGGGCAGACTACAAATAGCTGTTTCCAATCGTGTTCAATTCACTGAATCCTTAGTGTCTTAGTCATTTTTTAACAGCACCCTAGGTCAAAATAAATACCGAGCAGTTCCATTTATTAAGTAGTTAGGCTCAAACAATTTATTTATTTATACCTTTTTAATTTTATTTTTCCATAAGTTACTGGGGATGGAAACATATCCATCCCTGTACTCAGGTCAGTGTCCCAACGAAACCACACAGAATAGGTAGGTTCTCCCCAGAAAGGGGAGAATGGGAGAAGCGGTATAGGACCAAAAACAATGCATCTCTCATTTTATAGATGAGAGAACAGACTGGTAGTATGGTAGCTTAATAGTTAAGCAGGAAAGCTTTGGAGTCCCACCCATCTGGGTTCATGTTCTCGGTCAAATTAATGTCATCTTGCCTTTTAAGACTTTAGAGTCCTCATCTGTAAAATGGGTGTAACAGAAGGTAAAGGCCAAGAAATAGAAAACAATAATTATAGTCCTTGCCTTATAGGGCCAGTGGTTCAAGTAAGGACTGAATGTGTTAATAGACATAAAGTGTCTAGCACAGGTCTGGCAATAGGAAGCCCTCAGTAAATGAAGCCATTGTAATTACTAATCAGGGAACCTTAAAGTTTACATATCTGGTAAGTGACCCAGGCTTCTGACTCCTGAGGGTTTCCTTCTAACCAGGGAGGCAGGGAGAGAGTACGCAACAGTGATCTTCCTTTCTTGTCTGTTGCAGAGTGAAGCAACATGGATGCAGTCAGCCAAGTCCCCATGGAAGTCGTGCTTCCCAAGCACATCCTGGATATCTGGGTTATTGTCCTCATCATCCTGGCCACCATTGTCATCATGACCTCGTTGTTGCTGTGCCCAGCCACTGCAGTAATCATCTATCGCATGCGGACTCATCCGATCCTTAGTGGGGCTGTTTGAGAGCCTCCCAAGAGGGCCGGGTGAGGGATGAGGACAGGCATCCTATCCCCAGCCTCTTCCTGTCTTCAGAAAAGCAGCAGGAGGGACTTTGGGGCATGGACCTGAGTTCTGGTTTTGATTCTGCCACGAGCCAGCTGTGTGAATTTGGTCAAGGGACCTAACTCTCTGAGTTCCAGGTTCCTTATCTTTCAAATGGGGATGGTGATCCCTGCCCTTTCTACCTCATAGGGATGTGAGAACCACCTGACTTAGTGGATGTGAAAGCTGTTTGTGATCAGTAAAGCTACCACAGATATAAGGGTGTTATGCTGAATCCTGAGAAGCTTTCAAGAACCAGAGAACCTGATTGCTGATGATGGCCTTAAAGGTGGTGAGGGAGATACTGGGGGCAGAGCAGACTTTGCCAGTGCCCCTCAGGTCAAACCAAGCCAAGAGCACCCTGTCCCCATTCCAAGGGGCCAGCAGCACTTTGGCCCAAAGTATTTTCTTTAAGGTGCCATTCCTTCATGTTTTCTCAGTTTGGAGGGTGATGGGTAGAGCTTTCCAGAACCTTCTCCATTCCAGAATCTCTGCCCCTGTGTAATCTGAAGGAAGGCTGTGCCATCTTTGGGCACTGCCAAGGGAGTTGGGGTGATGGGCTTCTTTCTGCACTGGAGTCTCACATCTGTTAGCTTTGACACTCAAGCAATGTTGGAAAATGCAGGGTGACTGAGTTCCCTGCCCAGCTTTCGGGATCTCTGGCCCCCATCCCCTTGTGTGTGTCCCTCTGCCCAGCTCCTGCTGTAATTAGCTCCACGTGTACCCCCTTCACTCCCTCCCACCAGCTCTGCAGCCAGCCTATGGCAATTATATTTTAAGAGGTGTTCCCAGGACTTTTGGGACCTACTAAAACAATGATGGTTATTTTAGATGTGATGATTTATATTTATGTAGAGATATTTCTGGACCACTCAAGCTCTTCGATACCAAAATCAGGAGCATCTTGGGATTTATTAAATTATGTAAGAAGATAGCACAGATATCGGGATATTATTGTGTGAAAATGCTGCTTTTACTTTGATGTGATCTCATTGATGTACACAACCAAGTTCCAATAAAGTGCTAGAATGTGCATGTCTGAGGTCTTTCTTTAAAGAGCAACTGTTAAACTCAGAACTCAGGTAAAAGCCTTACACTGAATGTATGGGCCTTCAAGACAGTTTGAATATAGTAACAGAAAAGGGAAGAGAAGAATCAAATTTACTTCCAGGGCTCTAGCTTCAGCACGTGGGTGAAGTTGTGCAGGTTACACACAGATAGTGCAGAGGAGAAGAACCGATTTTGAATATCAGATTCAAAGAATGACAAATAAGACCATGAATTTCGTATTGGACATGTTGCATTTGAGGTGCTTGTGATATTCAGGTGGACTCATTCAGGATGCAGTTGGAGATCTGAGTCTATTCCTGGGAAAGATGTTATGTCTGGTATTAGGGTATGGGGGATTAACCCCTATGGTAGATAATGGTGTACAAGTAGATAGGATCAGAATATACAGACTTAGAAGAGTGAGATGCTAAATGCAGAACTTGGAAGACACTAAATAGGAGGGGAAGGAGAGTAGAAGGGGAAAAAAGAGAGATTGGATAGGTCCTATGATATGAGGTGTTTCAATAGAGGTGCAATTATATACATATATATATATATATATATATATTTTTTTTTTTTTTCAGTAGAGATGGGGTTTCACCATATTGGCCAGGCTGGTCTCGAACTCCTGACCTCAAGTGATCCACCTACCTCCACCTCCCAAAGTGCTGGGATTACAGGTATGAGCCACCACGCCCAGCCCTAATAGTATTTTGTAGGTTAAGAAATGAGTGGGAGGTTAGGAAGTTGAGACAGTGAGAACAGAAACCTTTCCAAGAGTAGCATTGTAATACAGAGGTAAGAGTTAGAGGAGAGCGTCAGGGGGAAATGGTGAAGGGGGTTTCTGTCTTAGTACATTTGGGTGGCTCTAACAAAATACCTGAGACTGGTAATTCAGAAACAACAGAAATTTACTGCTCACAGTTCTGGAGACAGGGAGGTTCAAAGCACATGCAGATTTTGTGTCTGGTGAGAGCCTGTCCCTCATAGATGGTTGTGTTTTTTTTTTTTTTTTTTTTTGAGACAGAGTTTTGCTCTTGTTGCCCAGGCTGGAGTGCAATGGTACGATCTCGGCTCACCACAACCTCCGCCTCCCAGGGTCAAGCTATTCTCTTGCCTCAGCCTCCCGAGTAGCTGGGATTACTGGCATGCACCACCATGCCTGGCTAATTTTGTATTTTTTGTAGAGATGGGGTTTCTCCATGTTGGTCAGGCTGGTCTCGATCTCCCGACCTCAGGTGATCCGCCTGCCTTGGCCTCCCAAAGTGTTGGGATTACAGGCATGAGCCACGGTGCCCGGCCTATAGATGGTACTTTCTATGTGTCCTCATGGTGGAAGAGACAAACAAGCTCCCTCAGGCCTCTTTTACATGGAAACTAATCCCATTCATTACAGCAGAGTCCTCATGACCTCATCACCTCCCAAAGGCTTCACCTCTTAGTGCCATCACCATGGGGTTGGGTTTCAACATATGAATTTTGCAGGGACACAAACATTCAGACCATAGCAAGGGGATAGTTAAGATGTCATAAGATTCTGATAGGTTTGCTCAGCATCTCTTCCAACTGTTTTTCTGGCATGCCTTCCTGGATGGCAGAGGCTGGAAAATAAAACAACAACAAAAAACTACAATGAAAGTAAAAACCTGTATTTCTGTAACTACACTTGATAGAGATTCAAAAGTGATTTAGGCTTTGCTGTTCAGATGCATGCATACCATGTTTTAGTTTGGAACCCAGTTCAGCTGGGAGAGCTAGGACAGGGTGTGAGACAATCACAACACTGGTGTGAATCCCAAAGCTGCAGCACAATCTGGAGCCAAGCCCGCAGCTTTCTCATGCCTGGATCTCAGTTGAGGTGGGACAGTCCTGCAGCCCACAGCCAAGGCTGTGGCTTTCTTGTTCCCTAGCTTCCCACTTGTTACGGAAGTAGTAGCTCCCCAGGATGGCCGGTTCTGCAGTATTGATCTGGAAGGAATTCTAGTAACCCCTGCCTTCTGTGCTCTCCCAATCCTTTTAATGATTTTCAGCACATAATTCCCCATATTAAAGCATGTTTAGGCTGGACGTGGTGGCTCACGCCTGTAATCCCAGCACTTTGGGAGGTCCAGAGGACAGGAGTTCGAGACCAGCCTGGCCAACGTGGTGAAACCCCCTCTCTACTAAAAGTACAAAAATTAGCTGGGCATGGTGGTAGGCGCCTGTAGTCCCACCTACTTGAGAGGCTGAGGCAAGAGAATCACTTGAACCTGGGAGGTGGAGGTTGCACTGAGCCGAGGTTGCGCCACTGCACTCCAGCCTGGGCAATAGAGCGAGACTCTGGCTCTAAATAAATAAATAAATAAATAAAGCAAGCATGTTTAATTTCCATTTGCCAGAGTATACCTTAATTGATCCAGATGGAAGAAAAATCTATTAATTCCTATCAATTATTATCCTAGCAATTCAACTTCTAAGTCCATCATGTGATCCAGTATTACAGAAGAAGAAGTCTGTTAATGGGAGGCAGATGGTCTTCTAGCAATAGAGATGGCAAGGAACTGGTGGCCTCAAGGAGAGCTCAGAGAGGTCTACTGGTGGCGACAGAATGAGAACTTTGCTTATAGTATTGCTGAAACAATACTATAAGAATAATGAACACTCTGGGATGCCAACACAGGCGGATCACTTGAGGTCAGGAATTAGAGATCAGCCTGGCCAGTATGGTGAAACCCTGTCTCTACTAAAAAAACAAACAAACAAAAAGTGAGATAGTTGAGTTAGAAAATGTATAGTGTTTTGTTGGCCTCTTTGAAAAATAAGCGGTCTGATAATATGTAACAAAGTTTAAAAATTGTATCTATTGAAATTAGTGCTTATATTAGTTGTGTGAGATGATTTACATTTAAAAATGTAAAGAATATATGTGTGCTTATAGGTAAGAACAATACATGAACATATTTTCCATCTGCTCCCAATACGTGTCAGTTCATCTTTCTACATTTAACATTTACTGAAGGTAGCAGAAGTAACGTTTTGGAAGAAAAGGATGTTTGGTAAATCAGAACACTATTTCTTGCAATAACTAAAGATCATTAATAACATTTCTTCCAAACTTCCCCCTCCCCAACTCCAACTCCAGAAATAACCAACTAGTTTGATAATTACTAGAAGAAAAAAAGAGAAACAATTGTAATATTTATACAGACATAAAGGAATGGTCTGGTAAATATGGTACAAACAATGAAATAAAACACGGCAACTGAGCACTATCTATTATATTGGTAGTTAACAAAAAGCAAAATACAAAATTGCACCTTCTCAACACCAAAAAAATTGCAGATTTTGCCATTACTTTTAGAATGGTAAAAACTGCATTACTTTTGCACCAACCCAAAACAATTATCTATAATAAAGTCATGAATATATATATTGTCAATTTGTCACTAATAAAATTATTTTGGTGGTATTTTGTTCCATTTCTTCTTACAGGGGTAATTTTTTCTGTTATACCTCAAATGTAACTGGCTTAAACTGATTTCTTTTTTCAACCAAATATGTGTCTTTGGAAACAAACATTCTAATGGCATGCCTCTATACATATCTACCTAGTTCAAGGGAATGCAGTTTGGGAGACTGTGTGTACATGTGTGCACACTCCTGTGCGTACATGTTAAAGTGTAACGTGATCCACCTGAAATGTACATGCAGCTGTTTATATCATGTAGCCATCCATTTCATGATAAATATGTTTGGAAATAAATTTGTAGTACTACCTCCCAACAGCAAATCTTATTTCCTTTTAGTTTCAGTAATAGTATTTAGTATTAGTTGTCACTAATAAGGATTATTTTTAATTTGCAGATGGAAAGCTTCTTCCTTTCCATCCATAAATCGAGTGTTTCTTCTCAAAGGCAATGGTTCTCAAACTTTAGTATGCAACAGAATCACCTGAGGAGCTTTTCTTTTTTTGAGATGGAGTCTCGCTCTGTCGCCCAGGCTGGAGGGCAGTGGCGCGATCTCTGCTCACTGCAAGCTCCGCCTCCCGGGTTCAGGCCATTCTCCTGCCTCACCCTCCCGAGTAGCTGGGACTACAGGCACCCGCCACCACTCAAAATCCTGGTCCTTATCTGCAAAGATTCTATTTCAGTGGGCCTATGACGGAGCCAAGAATTCTGCATTTTTAAGGCAACTTGCTGTCCTTTGAGAAACATTGCACTGAAGTATTTGGGAACTTTGTTTCACTGTGATAGCTGTCTGGGACTTAAATCTTCCGCCAAAGGAAAACCTGGAAAATTTTGTGATTGAGCAAGCAAATCAAGCCCATGCGTAGTAGTAGACTGGGAACCGGTGGGTGTGAGACCCAGGCTCTATGTGGCCTACACTCTTCTGAACTCTTCTGAGTCTTGATTCCTGGTCTGTGAAGTGTGCAGTGTATCCGAATTAAATGAGAAAATCATTCCGTGCTTTTAGGGTGAGTTTGAATAACTTTTAGGCAGTCCACCAGATGGCGATATAACTTTTTTTTCAAATGGAGTGGTTAGCCTGCCGAAGTTGTGAGAGTCAGTCCTACAACATTCCTAGCAGATCAAGATTTTATGTTCCCAGTTCTGGCTTCAGAGACTGTAGCGATAACACAGGGCTCATGCAGTCCAACATCCCGTATAATACAGGTTGCCAGTTGTTGCCTTTTCAGTATTTCTCCTGTGTGATCCTGGACTGCTTGTGTCAGATTCACACAGGAGCATTTGCTTACAAATGCAGCTTCCAGGGCCCTGCTTCAGACGTACTGACCGAGAATCTCTGGAACTGGTTCTTCAGTATCTGCTTTGCAAAAACAATCCGTAAGTGCTCAACAAACAGGTTAAAGTCTGAGAGCCACGTGCCAGTGAAAAGGAGGTTCACGTCTTGCTGAAGCCACCCCTTATTAGCTGTTTTGTTAGAATTCCTCCCTCGGTGAGAGTGGGATTAAGGATTCAGGGATGCTAGTTCTGCCCTCTTGAGGCCACACTGAAGAGATCAACTTCCTTTTTCTTGGGAAATGTCTGAACATTTTGAAGGTCGCTAATCATGACTTACCTCACCTCCGCCCCTATCTTCTCTGGGGGTGGGGAAGAAGTCATACTTTGCATTACAGGTTGGCTGTCATCCTCCTTCCCTTTCCAGGAACACTATAACCAGAGACTAAGAGCGAGGACCTTCACTATTTCTTAGCTTTGTGATCGTGAGCAAATAACATAAACTCTTTGAGCCTCAATTTCCTCTTCTGTAAAATACGAGTGAAAATAATTATACCTACTTCAAAGGATTGTTATGATTATTACATGGGGTGATGAATGCAAAGTGAAAAGGTAAAATATAGCAAAATGTGATCTATTATTAACAATAATGAGCTTCAGTTTCTACATCTGTAAAATGGTGATGATAACTACTAGAGCATGGGGAGAATTAAATGAGGTAATATAAGTAAGGTAGTTGGTTAATGTCTGACTTAGAAGAGGCTCTCAATAGTAGTAATTATAAGATGGCCAATAATGTAAAAACACCAATGGTCTATGCCCCTAATGATGTGGGATTTTAAAAATCACTGAAGTAATGAGATTAGCAATTTCCTTACTGTTATCCTGTAGGATCAGCCTTAGAACAAGTATAAAACTTGTATCTCTTCTATACTAAGTTCCTTTTAGAAAATGTTTCTTAATGAATCCACAATTATTTAATAAAACACAAAGTATTCAATTTTTAAGTATTAATTCCTCACAGAAATTGCTTTCTAAAGTTTTAAGGGTGCAAAAAACATTAAAAATCTTTCAGTAAGCTAAAACTTTAATTAGGCCCTTATATAATTCTTGCTAAAGAGAGAGAATGGAACTGAGACTGTGAAATGAAATGACAATGATAATATTTCCTTTGAAATTTTTAAGGCCAAGTTGCATTAATGCAACTTTGAAATTGTTCCAATCACACAAGGTATTTAATTAAAGCAAATGAAAGGCTCTTCAATTCCCATAAAGATTTACATGGTAGGAAAAATGTTTCTGTTTTAGCAGGTCTATAACATCATTTTTAAAAATTACAAAAATTATTGTATCTACTTTTAAAGCTGGACAGCAATAGTTATAGAGAGAATCATTTAATTTTAGAGTCAAGCAGACCAAATTCCCATCTGGCTCCACCAGCGTGTTCCCTTTAGAAAGTAACATTTAAGAGTTTCATTGCCCTTGTTTGTAAAAAAGGGGATCATATTTGCCTCCACAGTGCCGCTGAGGGGTTTAAACAAGGTGCTGAATCTAGAACACTTACAGAGAGCCTGTAATAAGTACTCAGTGCTTAAATGTTACCTAAAAACAAAGGAAGATCATTAGCACTACCGTAAAAAATTATATATGGGTGGGGCACATTGGCTTGATTGGTTTCGCTATATGGGTTTCAACCAAACGTCTTGGGGAAAAATTCGGAAGGCAATAAAAGGAAAGTGGAAAGGACAAAGAGGATTGGAGTTGGGGAGGGTAAGAGACAGTTATAAGTCTGAGGAAAAATTAGGAAATAGCATAGAATTCTAATTCAAATAACTTAATTACCCTTGTATTTATATTTTTTCTTAAAGTTGTTTTACTTTAGTGAGCAGTCTTTCTTCTCAGATTGTGTCTTAGCATATTAATGAAAAAAACAGATGATAATATTACTGTACAATAAGAGTTTAGCAGTGATTGAAATTCAGTGTCAATGAAGACACAGGGCAATGGAGAGAAAAATCATAGATATGTCATGAAAACAGTTTTAGTAATTTTTCATTTCAACAACAAATTTCATAATAATGATATAAGTACATTCTTTATTTTATATATATATATGTTCTTTTTATAGAGATGGGGTCTCACTGTGTTGACCAGGCTGGTCTTGAACTCCTGGTCTCAAGCAATCCTCCCATCTTGGCCTCCCAAAGTGCTGGGATTACAGATGCGAACCACCATGCCTGGCCTCTGAATTTTAAAATAGTTATGAGTGCCTTTAGAATTTCTACTATTGGAGCCCTTTATGCTTCTATTTACCTTCAATCAAGATTTGCACCTCAGAAAACATAGTTACTTGTTGTTGTTGTTGTTGTTGTTAGGAAAAGTTCAGTATGAATGCTGTTGTCTCATTCTACATAGCAATTGTTTGGGTCATGTATAATAAAGAATTGATACCTACTCTAAAAATGAAGATATTTTGTGTTCTAGGAATTGAGTGGCACTTGGTCAAAGAATGATTTATGGAATCTCTGGGCATAAGGGGAATTGATTGCTCTTTAGTTTTTCTTTTCCACACTTAGTACTAAATTATTTTGAATTTATGGGAAGTTAAGCTAAGTGAACCACATCTTTCCATTTTGTTGCAAGGAGCTTATCACTTTCTAAACGGAGAACTATACTGTCTCGGAGTAATGGATTGAATAGTGGCCCCCCCAAAATTATGTCCACTTCCTAAATCGCAGAACCTGTGAATGTTACTTTGAAAAAAAAAGGGGGTCTTTGTAGATGTCATTAAGTTAAGGATCTCCAGATGGGGAGGTGATCCTGGATTATCTGAGTGGGTTCTAACCCAGTGACAAGAGTCCTTATAAAAGACACACGAAGGACTGACACACAGAGATGAGAAAGAGGCAATGTAACCATGGAGACAGAGACTGGAGTGATGTGCCACAAATCAAGGCAAGTTTGTAGCCACCAGAAGACGGAAGAGGTAAGAAGTACATCATCCCCTGGCCTCCAGAGGAGTGTGGCCCTGCTAACACTCTGATTTTGGACTCCTGGCATCCAACTGCGTGAGTATAAATTTCTGTTGTTTTAAGCCACCAAGTTTGTGGTCATTTGTTACAGCGGCCACAGGAAGCTAATACACAGGGTAAGCTGATAGGGGAATGAGAGAGTTTTTTCACAGTTGCATGAATGGGTTAAGAATTCTAAAGAATAATTAGCCAGGTGTGGTGGTGGATGCCTGTAATCCCAGCTACTCGAGAGGCTGGGAGGCAGGAGAATCACTGGAACCCGAGAGGCGGAGGTTGCAGTGAGCCAAGATGGCGCCACTACACTCTAGCCTGGGCGACAGAGGGCGACTCTGTCTCAAAAAAAAAAAAAAAAAGTTATTTGAAAGAATAAACATTATTGGGTAAGGGGAGATGACATGGTAGCCATTAGAAAGAGGGGTGGGGGGAGTGAGGAAAAAAGGCAAAAAACAGAGACCAGGAAGGTGAATAACCAGAATGTGAGCTAAGGAGATGGAATAGGAAGGACACTGTACCCAGGCAGAGTATGGACTGAGGAGAAAAATAAATGATATCCCTAAATATGTTTTAATTTCAGGGAGTTACTTTGTCTTCTCATATTTTACTCAGATCGCTTTGTGTGTGTGTGCGTGCGTGTGTGTGTGTGTGTGTGTGTGATGAAATACATATTTTAATTAAATATTTTACCTCAGAAACAGCCTCTCAGAGAATGTTTTTGGATAAAATGCAATGTTTTGGTAATATTCTCTTCAGAAACATTAAGTTAGGATGTTAGGGTGATGGAAAAACCTCAATAAAAACCAGTAGCTTAAGTATGGAGACACTCAGAACTCAGTCATCACATTGGGAAGAAAATGAGATAGTGGAAAAGAAGAAAAAGTCACCCAGGAAAGAGCCCGAGAAAACTTCTAAGAGTCGGAGTTTTTCACTGATGCTTACCAAAGCTTAGCTGTATGGAATAATGGAGGAATACATCCTTTTAACTTTAGTCAAGCTTTTTAAATTCTGAAAAGGGGACTCTTTCACTTAGAGTGCTGCAGTACAAGGAAAGCAATTGTTTGGAGAAAATAGGCTATGCATTCTGAAAAAAAATATTTCTTTTTGGCAAGGGCTATGGATTCCTGTCAATCTAAAGGGATCTCTAAACTTAGGGAGAGGGTAGGAAGTAGCTCTGCCCTCTGAGAGGCTCTATTTTATTCTGAAAGGCCGAATGTGACAAAAGCAGCTTTAATGATCAGACAGAGCTGAGGTATCCAAAGCTACATATAAAATAGAAGCTTAGGACACCTGAAAAAACAGACAAGAATTAACACAATAGCAAACAAAATGGCAGACTCAATCACTGCACCTGGCCGAAATATTTCTATGAAGTCAGAGTTTAGCTGGGTACCAGAGCAATTTTCTCCCTAAAATTGGGTAATGAAAATTTGAACAGAAGAGGTGGTATGTGCTGATTAATTTTATGTGTTAACTTGACTGGGCTGAAGGATGCCCAGATAGCTGGTAAAACATTATTTCTGGATGTATCTGTGAAGATGTTTCCAGAAGAGGTTAGTATTTGAATTGGTAGGCTGAGTAAAGTAGATTACTCTCACCAATGTGGTGGTTAGAGAGTCCATCAACCAACCCAGTGAGGACTCGAATAGAAGAAAAAGGTGGAGGAAAGGCAAATTTGTTCTCTTTTCTTGAGCTGGCACATCCATCTTCTCCCATCCTTGGATGACAGAATTTCTGGTTCTCTGATCTTCACACTTGGGCTAAATTACCCACTGGCTTTCCAAATTCTCCAACTTGCAGATAGCAGGTTGCAGAGCTTCTCAGCCTCTGTAATCACATGAGCTAATTCCCATAATTAATCTCTGTCTCTGTCTCTCTCTTTTTCTTTCACTTAATAAATATGGAGATTTATTGAAGAACCAAGAGGATATACCACTGGTTCTGTTTCTCTGGTGAATCTTAATACATAAGGTTAAAATAGATTAACATTAGAAGCGAAAAGTGAAAATGCCTCAAAATATATTTTAAAACTTCTACTTCAAACTATAGAAAACACGATTTCTTGGTCATCAAATCATGGAAGAACATCTCATTCTTGGAATATGTTGAGGTATATGAGAAATCTTCTCATTGCTTCTCAGAATTCTTAGCACCTGCAAAACCATTATTTTGTTTATATAATCTTACAGAAATGTTACCCAACTACTAGATTCACGTGAAATAATTTTTTCTTTTGATAGAAAACCAGCGAGGTCAGTAATTTCTGTCGGGAGAAAGAGCAGGAGAAACAATTCTCCTTACATGAATTCTTAGGTGTCCAGTTGAAAACATTCCAGAAGAGGGGGTGGACCATGGATGGTGGGAAGCACAAACTTCAGAGCCAGATCCCCAAAGTTTGGTGAAAAGGCCAGGAAAAGCACCAAATAAACACACAGCCATGCAGCCCTTAACAAGTCTACTTTGTAAAAGCAATTTTGTTAATCTCTTTCTTCAGGAAACACTTTTTCTTGTGGCGGTATTTACTTTGTTAAACGAAGAAAGTTCCCTGCCTTCTCTCTCTCCAGTTAGGGCTAAAACCTGGACACTGACAGAGCTAATGTATGTTTGATCTAATCAGTCAAGATCAAGTGGGGGAAAGCAATAAAAATAAATTTCAAAATGTTCTCTATCAAAAATTTTTCAAGAAAAATGTTCTAATTAAGAATCTCCCTCAAGTATGTTTCTGTACAATTGGACCAGTGAACTGGGACTGGAAGTGTCAAGAGGGTTGTAGAAATGAAAGTATTGCCTCATTTTCTGATTTTTGTTCCCACCTACAGGAGCTCCCACAGTGTTCTACTCTTTCCATTTTAGGGAGAAGATGTAGAGCAGTACAACTTTTTTCCCTCTATGACATGTCCCAGACCTTTCCGAACTCTTTAGTGCCTCTGATTATTAGTAAACAATTCAAGCTTACTGATGGAGACTGTAACTTTGATGTCATTTTTCTTCTCCTTGGTTTACAGCCAGGAATCATTGCATGTCTTCCAGGTATTGGCAGGAACACATACATTTCCCAAGCATATAGGTGGGATTAGTATAAAATAAACTTATGAGGCCTTTCATATTTTATGTTGCCTCAGACCAGGTAAGTTTTGTCTTAATTTTCTGATTATCCTGAGATGTTTCTCCATTTACTCCATTGAATCTACTTGACTCTGAGTTCTTTTTTTCTTTATTCTTCTCTATTCTTATTCTTTTTTTTTAAATTCTTGATGGTGATAATATCTCTTCGCTTCAAGTGATAATGTTCATTCCTTACCCTGTTAGATATTTTTAATATAATTCTTATAAACTTCTTAATTTTCTCAAAGGCCCATGCCTCTATGATAATGATCAGCACTTGTTTAATTTGAAAATGTCAGGCATATGTAAGAGGTTCAATTGCCCAGGAGCTCATAACTCCTTACTCATTCATTAAAAACAAATCATCGGGATGCTCCTGCTCTAATGTTTAGAGCCTTTCTTTTAACAAATGGCCTCTTAATTTTCATGGTAGAAAAGACTTTTTTTTCCTTCTGTGATACAGAACAGTTTTCAATTATTTAGTCGTCATGAGCTGAAGCAGGGTAGCCGTAGATATGCTAGACTATTTTTCTACAATAACCCCAGCATGTCCTTTATTTAGGAGAAATTTTGACTGATGGTGGAAAGAAATTTAAAGTACTCCTGCATTAAATGAAGTTATGATTCATACTAACAGTGAAAATGATTATTTGAATCTCAGAAGGCATACATTTCTAAAACAATGTTTGTTTTGATTATCTTCTAAGAGAATATCGAGATTTACAAAATTTATTCTTTCTTTCATTTCATTGTATCATCCTTTTCCTATGTGAACAATCTCACATGGCTTTTCCTTCTTTCAGAGTGGATTTGGTATTTTTTCTCTTTCATTTGTATGCTTTCCATTTACTTTGTATTTAAAGACAATCTCAAACTTGTAAAAAGTTACAAGTACAGTAAAAGAACTTTCTTTTGAAATTTTTTGAGTGTAGTTGCTAACATGCTCATTCAACTTACCTGACTACTTCTATGTATTCCACTACAAACAAGAATGTTTCCTACAAACATTCTTCTACATAACCATATTACCATCAAAGTCAGCAAATTAACAGTGATAGGTTACTACCATATAATCCTCAAATTCTTTCAAGTTTCCTCAATTTTCTCAATGATGTCCTTCATAGCAAAGGGATCCAGTTCAGCGTCATGTGTTTCATTTTGTTGTCATATCTGTTTGGTTTTCTTCAATGTGGAACAGTTCCCTAGTCTTTCTTGGCCTTTATGACCTTAACACTTTTGAAGATTACAGGCCAATTATTTTGTAGAATAGCTCTCAATTTGAGTTCACCTAATGTTTTCTTATGAATAGATTTAGGTTTGCATCTTTGATAGGAATATCATAGCAATGGTGACAATTTTGATTCACCTCATTACTGGTGATGTTAACTTTGGTCACTGATTGGTGTCTGCTAGACTTCTCCACTGTAAAGTTACTCTTTCTTCCCTTTGTAATTAATAAATATTTTGTAAGGTGGTACTTTGAGACTATGCAAATATCCTGTTCCTCATCAGACTTTCAATTTGTCCATTCATTTATTTATTTCAGTGTGGACTCATGGGTTCCTATTTTATTCAGTAGGTTAAAACCAGTTGCTTTCATTATTTAGTTTGATGCTCAGTGTGGGGGTTCAATAAGGCTGGTGGGAAAAATATTAAAGATAGTTATAGTAATAGCCACAAACTCTCTTGGAAGGCCTGAGAGTTTGTATAACATCAGTAATAGATCTGGCTGAAGGCGGCCTGGTCCCTTTACCTTTAGTTAAATAAGTTAAAGTAGTAACTAAGGAATGTGGGGAAGTTATCTAGCTAGCTTGTTTACTCATGTGGTCTTAAGACTAACCTTTGATGTACGGCAGGTGCTTAATTGCTTTCTACTTGGGAATTCCACAGTGTCAATTACCCTCTAGTGGTGTTGACTCAAGCCTTTGTCAATTAATCTTCCCCAAATAAATGTGAGTCTCACTAGCTGGTCAGGGCCACAGTCACAACTGTTTACAGTACTCTCCAGGGAGTCTGTAAGTGGCTTGGACACTCAGCTGGACTGGCAAAGCAGAATATCTGTGTGTCAGTGTACTTCATTCATCCATGGCTGGCTCAGGGTCTGCGGGTCAGACCGCCCCAAGTGAGAACTCTTTCAAGAGTCTTTTTGATATGTTCTCATAAGTCTTTCAGTGCTTCTTTACTTCCTGGCAAAGATGTCCCAGGCTCATCTTATAGTTTCCCTGCCCTAGACTTGGGATCAGCCATTTCTCCAAGGAGACTTGGATCCTGTTTTGGAGTATGGTCTTCAGAAAAGATGTCAGAACCAGGTGTGCTCATTGTTACTGAGGGCTTGTTACTTCCTGTTTTCAATGGACAGAGCTAGTTAATATATATATATACTTATATACATACATAAGCACATTTTTACACCTATACTTCTATATCCCTATTGAAAACCATGGGTTCACTTTGATATCTCCAATTCCAATCTAACAGCACAGGGCTCATTCATGTTTTCTCTCCTTCTATATTTGAAACTTCCTTCTCCAATAGTGAGAAGTCTTGATATATTTTTGATCAAGCCTTCTGTATGTCACCAGTCTGTCATTGCTGCTGCATCCCACACTCCCTGTGCAATGCTTTCCCTACCTGCTTGGGCTTCAATATCCCACACCAGGCTTCTCCTCTCGTTGATGTTCTTCTTGCTCTACTTGAGCTCCATTACCCCTAACTAGTCCAGCATCCTCACCTTGCCTGGGCTTTAGCACTCTGATTTGGGTAACCACAGGATTCCCCCTATCCTTGCCATATTCATTTCTCTTGCCACTTAGTGGCCTTTGGATTGATCTGAACAAGGAAAGGATAAAAGAGAAGTTATCATTTTATTTTCAAGTTAGTATTTGCTGAGTACTATTTATCAAGCTCTGTATTATCTCATTTTAGTGACATAATGAACTTGATTACATTTTACTAATTGAAGCAGTCAAGATGAAAGAAGTTGTCACTTGCCAGACTCCACAGCCAGTAAGTGGCAGATCCAGGACTGGATGTTGTCTTGCTGACTATAAACCAATGTTCCACTTGGAAGCTGTGTATGTGTGATTCATAGAAAAAGTGGTTAATTTTCAAAGGCAATAATCATAGAATTGGTAGTGTATAAATTTTTTGGGGATATAATTGTCAGATGTCTCAATTACAAGCCCAAGATAGATGAGGCAGTATTAATTTGCTAATTACATATTTTGAAAAGATTGTACATAAAGAAAATGTTTTCTCTTTAATTACGGCATTAAGGATTTCAAAAGGTACTTTATAATTTATACCATTTCATTTCATAATTTTATTTCTTTTCTCTGTGTTTTAAAGCATGTTCTAAGGGTTAAACTTTTAAACTTTAAACTACACAGTGAATCACTTTCTTTTCTTTTCTTTTTTTTTATTTTTTTGAGATGGAGACTCAGTCTGTCTCCCAGGCTGGAGTGCAATGGTGCAATCTCAGCTCACTGTGACCTTTGCCTCCCAGGTTCAAGCGATTCTCCTGTCTCAGCCTCCTGAGTAGCTGGGATTACAAACATGCTCCACTACACCTGGCTAATTTTTGTATTTTTAGTAGAGACAGCGTTTCACAGTCTTGGTCAGGCTGGTCTCGAACTCCTGACCTCAGGTGATCCACCCGCCTTGGCCTTCCAAAATGCTGGGATTACAGGCATGAGCCACCGCGCCTGGCCTGTGAATCACTTTCAATAAGCCTTTCCATAATTTAGAAAAAGACATATAAGAAGGAAGATTTCTTACGCTGTTTGCCTTTTGTTAAATAATGGTGACCCAGTTTCTAAAAGGAACCAGTTTCTAAAAGGAAAACCTGAGTAATTACTTAGAAGAGGCTGGCTTTCTAAACTTAGTTAACAGCTATTATTATTTAATTGTCAGTTTTACAGTAACTTGGTAAGTTTCCTGCTTAATCTAACTACTCTAAATTGTACTAAAAAACCTACCCTGTTCCCTGCATTGTATTTTTCATGTCTTTACAAGCTTGCACTGAGGCCTTACCTTCCTACATTATTGGCCAGCTTATGTAATGCCCATGCCAGGCAACCACCATTTGCTTTCTACAAGGTGTCTCATTTAAATTTCAGAACTACATTCTTATTCTGTAGTTCCATTGTTACTCCAATTTTATAGGTGAAAAAACTGAAACTCAGTGGGGTAAAGTAACTTGACCAAAATCACATTTCTAGGATAACAATGGCTTCTTCTGCAATACCTTCTGAAGGACCTACCTGAGGCTGTTTTACAGTTAACTTTTTTAAATAAGATAAATAGTTGGGACTTAATTAAACTAAAGGGCTTTTGCATGGCAAAAGGAACAGTCAGCAGGGTAAACAGACAACCCACAGAGTGGGAGAAAATCTTCACAATCTATACATCTGACAAAGGACTAATATCCGGAATCTACAACAAACTCAAACAAACCAGTAAGAAAAAAAAATCCCATCAAAAAGTGGGCAAAGGACATGAATAGACAATTCTCAAAAGAAGATATACAAATGGTCAATGAACATACATGAAAAAATGCTCAGCATCACTAATGATCAGGGAAATGCAAATCAAAACCACAATGTGATACCACCTTACTCCTGCAAGAATGGCCATAATCAAAATATTAAAAAATGGCCAGGCATGGTGGCTTATGCCTGTAATCCCAGCACTTTGGGAGGCCGAGGCAGATCACCTGAGGTCGGGAGTTTGAGACCAGCCTGGCCAACATGGTGAAACCCTGTCTCTACTGCAAATACAAAAATTAGCCTGGCGTGGTGGCAGGTGCCTGTAATCCCAGCTACTCGGGAGGCTGAGGGAGGAGAATCATATGAACCTGGGAGGCCAAGGTTGCGGTGAGCCGAGATCGTGCTATTGCACTACAGCCTGGGGGACAAGAGCGAGACTTCGTCTCAAAAAAAAAAAAAATTAAAAAACAGTAGATGTTGGCATGGATGTGGTGATCAGGGAACACTTCCACACTGCTGGTGGGAATGTAAACTAGCACAGCCACTATGGAAAACACCGTGGAGATTCCTTAAAGAACTAAAAGTAGAACTACCATTTAATCCAGCAATCACACTACTGGGTATCTATCCAGAGGAATTGAAGTCATTATATGAAAAAGATACTTGCACATGCATGTTTGTAACAGTACAATTTGCAATTGTGAAATCATGGAACTAACCCAAATGCCCGTCAATGAGTGGAAAAAGAAACTGTGTGTGTGTGTGTGTGTGTGTGTGTGTGTGTGTATATATATATATATATATATATATATATATATATATATATATATATGATGGAATACTACTCAGCCATAAAAAGGAATGAATTAATGGCATTTGCAGTGACCTGGATGTGATTGGAGACTATTATTCTAAGTGATGTAACTCAGGAATGGAAAACCAAACATCATATGTTCTCACTGATATGTGAGAGCTAAGCTATGAAGACGCAAAGGCATAAGAATGATACAATGGACTTTGGGGACTTGGGGGGAAGGGTGTGAGGGGAGTGAGGGATAAAAGACTACAAATAGGGTACAGCATATACTGCTTGGGTTATGAGTGCTCCAAAATCTCACAAATCACCACTAAAGAACTTACTGATATAACTAAATACCACCTGTACTCCAATAACTTATGGAAAAACAAAATATTTTTTTTTTTGAGATGCAGTCTCACTCTGTCGCCCAGGCTGGAGTGCAGTGGTGTGATATTGGCTCACTGCAAGCTCTGCCTCCCAGGTTCACACCATTCTCCTGCCTCAGCCTCCCAAGTAGCTGGGACTACAGGCGCCCACCACCATGCCTGGCTAATTTTTTGCATTTTTAGTAGAGATGGGGTTTCACTGTGTTAGTCAGGATGGTCTTGATCTCCCGGCCTCATGATTCACATGCCTTGGCCTCCCAAAGTGCTGACATTACAGGCGTGAGCCACCGTGCCCGGCCCAAAAAAATTTTTTAAAAAAAGATCAGTAAGATCTTATACAAAAATAGTGGACATGAAAACACTATAAATCAATTGAACATAAAAGATGTATACAGAACGCTCTACCCCAAAACAACATAATATACATTTTTATCAAAGCACATAGAACATTCCCCAGGACAGACCATATGTTAAGTCACAAAATAATTTTAATAAATTTTTAAAGGATTAAAATCATACAAAGTATTTTATCTGACCACAAGGAATGAAATTAGAAGTAAAAAATAGAAAGAAATTGGAAAATTTGCAAATACATAAAAATTAAACAGCACATTTTACAACAACCAATATGTTAAACAAGAAATCGCAAGATAAATTAGAAAATACTTAGAGATGAATGAAAATAAAAATACAAACTAATAAAACTTATAGGGTGCAGTTAATGCAGTACTCAGAGGGAAATTATAGCTGTAAACCCATACATTAAAAAATGAAGATGGATCTCAAGTTAATAATATAACTTATAATGTAACTTAAAGAACTAAAAAAAGAACAAACTAAAGCAAACCTAACAGAAGGAAGGAAATAATTAAGATTAGATTAGTGATAAATAAAATAGAGAATAGAAAAGCAATTGAGGGAGTTAATGGAAACAAAAGTTGGCTCTTTGAAAAGATCAACAAAATTGACAAACTTTTAAAGCTGGACCAATTTTAAAAAGAGAGAAGACTCAAGTTACTAAAATAAGAAGTTAAATGAAGGCATTTTCCTGGACACACAAAAAGAAAATGGATTAAAAGAGAATACTATGGACAATTGTATACCAACACATTAGAAAACCTGGATGAAATGGGCAAGAAACACACAAACCCTGAAATCTGACTCAAGAAGAAATGGAAAATCTGAACATATCTGTAAAAGTGGATATGTTTACACCTTCTAAACACTTTACTTCTTCTAAAAAGACAGAATCAGTAATCAGAAGCCTCCCGACAAAGAAAAGCCCAAGACCAGATGGTCTCATTGGTGATTTCTGCCTAACATTTGCAGAAGAATGAACACCAATCCCTTTCAAACTCTTCAAGAGATAGAAGGGGAGAAAACACTTTCTAACCGATTTTTTGAGGCCAACATTACCCTGATATGAAAGCCAGACAAAGACACCTCAAGACAAGAAAACCACAAACCAACATTCCCTATGAAAACATATGCAAAAATAGTCAATGTATACTAGTAAACCAAATCAAGTAACATACCAAAAAGGCTATACACTATGATTAAGTTGAATATATCACAGGAATACAAGGGTGGCTCACCTTATGGACATTATTCAATGTAATACACCACCGTAACAAGATGAAGGTGAAAATGAATGACCATCTTGATTTATGCAAAGTATTTGACAATCACAAGAATGACAAGAATACTCAACAAATTAGAAATAGAATGGAACTTACTTAACATGATGTAGAGACCTAATTAGAGAAAAGGAGTCAGGCTGGCAGGACCAAGGGAAAGCAAAAAGATAGAACAAATAAACTATAAATATGGCTTTCTTCATAGTTATATAAACAAAAGAGGAATTAAATGAATTATAGGTCTGTTTTTCTTTATGGCCCAAGACATATAGCCCTCCTGAACAAATAAAATACATAACTTACAAACTTCCTGCTTGCCATAAAATGCCTCAATTTATCAAACATCCTGGCTGACAGAAGAATGCAAGTTTCCAAGTTCCATCCTATAAAATCTCCAGCAAGCCTTTGTTTCTTTGCAGTCAGCTCCTCTTCTGCTGGCTTGCACATTGCCTCCTCACAACATGTTTTCATACTTTCTTTAATAAATCTGCCTTTCTTTACCTACAATTGTCTTGGTAAATTCTTTTATCTCTACACCACCAACCCAGATAGTCATCACTCACCTACAACACATGATAAACGGCATTTAGGGAAAACACATAGCTACATCATACTCCATGAAGAATGAATAAAAGCTTTCCCCTAAGTATAGGAAAAATACACGATGCCTGCTTTTGTCCCTTCTATTCAGTACTGAAAGTTCTGGCTAGAACAATTATGCAAGAAAAAAACAAACGAATAAAACAGATCCAAATTATAAAGGAAGGAGTAAAACTATTTGCAGATCATATGATCCTATAGATAGGAAATCTTAAAAGATATACACACACAAACTATTAGAGCTAATAAATTCAGGAAAGTATTGAGTATATAACTAGCACTTAAAACTTAGTTTTGTCAACATGCTGTTCGCTATGTTAAAAAAAAAGATTAGTTTTGTTTCTACTCATAGCAATGAATAATCCAAAACTAAATTAAGAAAATAATTTCAGAAGGGTGGAGCAAGATGGCACAATAGAAAACTCCACTGATTGTCCCTCAATGCTAGCACACCAAGCTGTCTACACAGACAAAACACCTTCATAAGAATGAAAAATCAAGTGACCACTCATAGTACCTGGTTTTAAATTCATATTGCTGAAAGAAGCACTGAAGAGGTTAAAAAAAAAAAAAAGCCCTGAATCGCAGACACCACCCCTCCCTTACCCCTGGCAGCAGCAGTGGGCATCTCTGGGTACTGGGGGAGGGAGAACACACCAACTGTGAAGCATTGAAAGTGCTGTTCTATTAGAGCAGAAAGGAAACCCAGACCAAACTCAACTGACCTGCCTGCAAAGGGAGGGACCCAGTGATCTAAACTTGAGTTCCTGCAAACCTCACCACCACGGGCTACAGCACCGTGTGTCTCCAAGTAAACTTGAAAGGCAGTCTAGGCGATAAGGATTGCAACTTGTAGGTGAGTCCTGGGGCTGAATTAGGCCCAGAGACAGTGGACTAGGGGGACACGTGACATACTGAGACACCGGCCGGGTCAGCTAAGGAAGTACTGGCATCACCCTTCCCCTAACCCCAGGCTGCACAGCTTGTGGCTTCAAAGAGAACCCCTGTCTTCTGTTTGAGGAGAACAGAGGGAAGAGTAGGGAGAACTTTGTCTTGCATCTAGGATCCCAGCCCAGCCACAGCAGGATAGGGCACTGGTCAGAATTGTGAGGCCCCTATTCCAGGCCCTGGTTCCCAGACAACTTTTCTAGATATGCTCTGGGCCAGAAGATAACTGGCAGCCTTGAAGGAAAGGACCCAGTACTGCTACCATTAATCACTTGCTAATCAAAGAGCCCTTGTGCCCTAAAAAACCAGCAGCAATATCTAGGTACTACATCCAGGGCCTTGGGTGAACTTCTGAGATTTGATGACTTCAGGTGAGACTCAGGACATAACCAGCTATGGTGGCTATGTGACCAAACTCCTTCCACTTGAGAAAAGCAGAGGGAAAAGTAAAGAAGACTTTGTCTTACATCTTAGATACTAGTATGGTCACAGTTGTGTAGAGCACCAAGCAGGCTCTTGGGGTCCTCAATCCCAGGACTTGACTCTTGGATGACATTTCTGGACCTGCCCTGGGCCAGAGCGGTACCCACTGCCCTGAAAGATGAGTCCCTGGCCAGGCAGCATTCACCACAAGCTTGCTTAAAATACCTTGGGCCTTAACAGAACACCGTGGTAGTCTGGCAGTATTCTTCATGGCCTGGGGTGGCAGTAGCTATGGTGAGGCTCCTCTTCCTTTGGAAAGGGGAGGGAAGAGTGGGAAGAAATGCATTGTGTGGTTTGAGTGCCAGCTCAGCTGAATGCAACAGAACACCATGTAGACTTCTAAGGTTTTTGACTCTAGTCCCTGACTCCCAGGTGGCACTTCTGAACCCACCTGGGGCTTGGGGGACCTTGCTGCTCTGAAGAGAAGGACACAGGCCTGACTGGCTTTACCACCTGCTGATTGTAGAGCCCCAGGGCCTTGAGTAAACATAAGAAGTAGCCAGGGAAAAGTTACAGTGGGCCTTGGGCAAGAACCAGCTCTGTTCTGGCTTCAGGTTTGACCCGGTGCAGTCATAGTGGTGGTGGCCACAGGGGTGCTTGTGTCACTCCGTCCAAATCTTTAGGTGGCTCAGAACAGAGAGAGAGACTCTGTATGTTTGAGATAAAGTAAGGGAAGGGAACAAGGGTCTCTGCCTTGTTCCCTTTTCTAGAATTTTCTCTAGCCAGAAAATTCTCCTAGATCTTGTTCAAGATTAGCAAGATGGTACCTCTGCAATACTGCAAGAACCACAGCATTACTGGGCTTGGGTTGCCCACTAAAGCAGATACAGCTTAGATCACAAAACCCAAGTCCTTTCAAATATCTGAAAAGCCTTCGCAAGAAGGATGGCTACAAATAAGCTTAGACAGTGAAGACTACAATAAATACCTAATCATTCAATGCAAGACTTTGAAGAACATCTACTAGCATCGATGCCATCCAGGAAAATGTGACCTAACCAAATAAGGCACTAGGACCAATCCTGGAGAAACATATATGTGACCTTTCAGACAGAGAATTCAAAATAGCTATGTTGAAGAAACTCAAAGAAATTCAAGATAACACCAAGAAGGAATTCAGAATTCTATCAGATAAATTTAACAAAGAGATTGAAATAATTAAAAAGAACCAAGCAGAAATTCTGGAGTTGAAAAATGCAAACTACTAAAGAATACATTAAAGTCCTTTAATGGCAGAATTGAACAAGCAGAAGAAAGAATTAGTGAGCTTGAAGACAGGCTAATTGAAAACACATAGAGGAGACAAAACAAGATTCTAAAAGCAGCAGGATAAAAGAAAGAAATAACATACAATGGAGCTCCAATACATATGGCAGCAGGCTTTTAAGTGGAAACCTTAGAGGCCAGGAGAAAGAGGCATGACATATTTAACGTGATGAAGGAAGAAAACTTTCAGCCTAGAATAGTATTATCCAGTGAAAATGTCCTTCAAACATGAAGAATAAAGACTTTCCCAGACAAACAAAAGCTGAGGAATTTCATCAATACCAGACTTCTCCTACAAGAAATGCTAAAGGGAGTACTTCAATCCAAAAGAAAAGGAAGTTAAAAAGCAATAAGTAATCACCTGAAGGTACCAAACCCATGGATAATAGTAAGTACACAGAAACACAGAATATTATAACACTGTAACTGTGGTGTGTAAACTACCCTTATCCTAAGTAGAAAGACTAAATGATGAACTAAAGACTAAAGAAATCAATAAAAAATAACAACTACAATAACTCTTCAAGACATAGTCAATACAAGGTATAAATAGAGACAAAAAAACTGTTAAAAAGCAGGTGGATGAAGTTAAGGCATAGAGTTCGTATTAGTTTTCTTTTTGCTTATTTGTGTATACAAATAGTGTTAAGTTGTTATCACATTAAAATAATGGGTTATAAGATAGTATTTGTTGGCCGGGCACAGTGGCTCATGCCTGTAATCCCAGCACTTTGGGAGGCCAAGGCAGGCAGATCACAAGGTCAGGAGATTAAGACCATCCCGGCTAACACGGTGAAACCTCGTCTCTGCTAAAAATACAAAAAATTAGCCAGGTGTGGTGGCATATGCCTGTAGTTCCAGCTACTCGGGAGGCTGAGGCAGGAGAATCGCTTGAACCCAGGAGGCAGAGGTTGCAGTGAGCCAAGATTGAGCCACTGCACTCCAGCCTGGGTGACAGAGTGAGACTCCACCTCAAAAAAAAAAAAAAAAATAGTATTTGTGACCTTCATGGTAATCTCAAACCAAAAAAACATGCAATGGATGCACAAAAAATAAAAAGCAAGAAACTAAGTCTTATCACCAGAGAAAATCACCTTCACTAGAGGAAGACAGGAAGGAAAGAAAGAAGGAAGAAATGACCACAAAACAACTAGGAAACAAATAACAAAATAGCAGGAGTAAGTATTCACTTCTTAATGACAACATTGAATGTAAATGGACTAAACTCTCCAATCGAAAGACATAGACTGGCTGAATGAATAAAAAAAAAGATCTATTGATCTGCTGCCTATAAGAAACACACTTCACCTATAAAGACACACATAGGCTGAAAATAAAGGGACAGAAAAAGATATTTCATGCCAATGGAAACCAAAAAAGAGCAGGAGTCACTATATTTGTATCAGATGAAATAGATTTTAATCAAAAACTATAAGAAGAGACAAAGAGGTTACTATGTAACAATAAAGTGGTGTATTAGTCCGTTTTCATGTTGCTGATAAGGACATACCTGAGACTGGGAAGAAAAAGAGGTTTAATTGGATTTACAGTTCCACATGGCTAAGGAGCCCTCAGAATCATGGTGGGAGGTGAAAGACACTTCTTACATGGTGGCAGCAAGAGAAAAATGAGGAAGAAACAAAAGCAGAAACCCCTGATAAACCCATCAGATCTCATGAGACTTATCCATTATCATGAGAATAGCATGGGAAAGACTGGCCCCCATGATTCAATTACCTCCCCCGGGTCTCTCCCACAACATGTGGGAATTCTGGGAGATACAATTCAAATTGAGATTTGGGTGGGGACACAGCCAAACCATA
Organism: Homo sapiens; assembly: GCF_000001405.40. NCBI lineage: Eukaryota > Metazoa > Chordata > Mammalia > Primates > Hominidae > Homo > Homo sapiens. The sequence continues at coordinate 150,820,030 of NC_000005.10, forward strand.
TAATTCCACCCCTGGCCCCTCCAAATCTCACATCCTAACATTTCAAAACCAATCATACCTTCCCAACAGTCCCCTAAAGTCTTAACTCATTTCAGCATTAACCCAAAAGTCCACAGTCGGAAGACTCATCTGAGACATGGCAAGTCCCTTCCACCAATGAGCCTGTAAAATCACAAGCAAGCTTTACTTCCTGGATACAATGGGGGTATTGGGTAAATACAGCCATTCCAAATGGGAGAAGTTGGCCAAAACAAAGGGGTTACGGGGCCCATGAAGTCTGAAATCCAGAGAGGCAGTCAAATTGTAAAGCTCCAAAATGATCTCCTTTGACTCCAGGTCTCACATCCAGGTTACGCTGATGCAAGAGATGGGTTCCCATGGTCTTGGACAGCTCTGCCCCTGTGGCTTTGCAGGGTAGAGCCTTCCTTCAGGCTGCTTTCATGGGCTGGCATTGAGTGTCTGAGGCTTTTCCAGGTGCACGGTGCAAGCTGTCGGTTGATCTACCATTCTGGGTTCTGGAGAACAGTGGCCCTCTTCTTACACCTCCACTAGGCAGTGCCCCAGTAGAGACTGTGTGTGGGGGCTCCAACCCCACATTTCCCTTCTGCACTGCCCTAGCAGAGGTTCTCCATGAGGGCCCTACCCCTGTAGCACACTTTTGCCTGTGCATCCAGGTGTTTCCATTCATCTTCTGAAATCTAGGTGGAGGTTCCCAAACCTCAATTCTTGACTTCTGTGCACCCACATGCTCAACACCATGTGGAAGCTGCCTAGGCTTGGGGCTTCCACCCTCTGAAGCCACAGCCCGAGCTGTATATTGGCCCCTTTAAGCCACAGCTAGAGCAGCTGGGACAAGTGGACCAAGTCCCTAGGCTGCACACAACCTGGAGACCCTGGGCCTGGCCCATGAAACCATTATTTCTTCCTGGGCCTCTGGGCCTGTGATGGGAGGGGCGCCATGAAGGTCTCTGACATGGCCTGGAGACATTTTCCCCATGGTCTTGGGGATTAACATTAGACTCCCTGATACTTATGCAAATTTCTGCAGCCAGCTTGAATTTCTCCCCAGAAAAATGGGTTTTTCTTTTCTATCACTTAGTCAGGCTGCAAATTTTCCAAACATTAATGCTCTTCTTTCTTTATAAATCTGAATGTCTTTAACGGTACCCAAGTTACCGCTTGAAGGCTTTGCTGCTTAGAAATTTCTTCTACCAGTTACCCTAAATCATCCTTCTCAAGTTAAAGTTCCACAAATCTCTAGGGCAGAGGCAAAATGCTGCCAGTCTCTTTGCTAAAACATAACAAGAGTCACCTTTGCTCCAGTTCTCAAAAAGTTCCTCAGCTCCATATGAGACCACCTCAGCCTGGACCTCATAGTCCATATCATTATCAGCATTTTAGGCAAAGCCATTCAACAAGTCTCTAGGAAGTTTCAAACTTTCCCACATTCTCCTATCTTCTTTTGAGCCCTCCAAACTGTTCCAACCTCTGTCTGTAATCCCAGCACGGGCAAATTTCTTACTGTCTGTGAGACTCACTTAAAATTATAATAGGTGTACCCAACTAATAAACGAAGTCATTTGATCTTATGAGTAAGCAATGATATGGGGAGAGCTCAACTTCTCTTTTGCTTCTTTTTCATAACCACTCTTTGTTGTCTATGCTGGACATATATTTAGCATGAAGAAGGATATCCAGTAGTCCTTTCTTATCCACAGGGAATATGTTGCAAAACCTCCAGTGGATGCTTCAAACTTTGGATAGTACTGAACTCAATCGTTGTCAATTGGAACATTTTCTGTCGATGTCTTCCACCCGCAAATTTAATGCCTTTTCCATCTTAACTAAGCACTTATCACACACTGTGGATGTAACTTTTACAGTTTGAGATGTGAGCAAAACTAGCAAAATTTTTTTTCCTTCAGCGTTTAATGGATAGAAGATTCATTCTTACTGTAGATATTAGCAACCTAGTATATGACTTTTCCCCTTATTAAGTCAAGAATTTTCACCTTTTCACTTAAAGGAAGCACTTTACAACTTCTCTTTGGTGTATCTGAATTGCCAGCATCACTCTTCTTGAACTTTGGGGCCATTATTAAGTAAAGTAAGAGTTACTTGAATATAAGCGTGTGGTATTATGATACATCTGATAATGAAGGCAGCTACTAAGTGACTAACAGGCAGGTACTGTCTATAGTGTGGATATCCTGAACAAAGGAATAATTTACGTCCTGAGTGGGATGAAGTGGTGCAAGATTTAATCACCCAATTCAGAATGATGTGCAATTCAAAATTTATGAATTGTTTATTTCTGGAATTTTCCATTTATTATTTTCAGATTGCAGTTGGCTGTGGATAACCGAAACTGCAGAAAGTGAAGCTGTGGATAAGGGACGGACAACAGTGCATCACATTAACAGAATGAAAAACAAAAACCATATAATCATCTTGGTACATGCAGAAAAAACATTTGATAAAATTCAACCTCCCTTTATGATTTAAAAAACCAACAAATTAAGTATACAAAGAATATAACTCAAGGAAATAAAGTCCATATATGAAAAACCTACAGCTAACATCATATTCAATGTTGAAAAGCTGAAAGTTTTTTCTCAGTATCAGAAACAAGACAAAGATGCCCACTCTTAACTCTTCTATTCAACATATTCCTGCAAGTTCCTAGCCAGACCAATTAGGAAAAAAAAAGTCATGTAAATAACATTTGACCCAGCCATCCCCTTATTGGGTATATACCCAAAGGAATATAAATCATGCTGCTGTAAAGACACCTGCACACATATGTTTATTGCGGCACTACTCACAATAGCAAAGACTTGGAACCAACCCAAATGTCCAACAATGATAGACTGGATTAAGAAAATGTGGCACATATACACCATGGAATACTATGCAGCCATAAAAAATGATGAGTTCATGTCCTTTGTAGGGACATGGATGAAGCTGGAAACCATCATTCTCAGCAAACTATCGCAAGGACAAAAAACCAAACACTGCATGTTCTCACTCATAGGTGGGAACTGAACAATGAGAACACTTGGACACAGGAAGGGGAACATCACACACTGGGGCCTGTTGTGGGGTGGGGGGAGGGGGGAGGGATAGCATTAGGAGATATACCCAATGTAAATGACAAGTTAATGGGTGCAGCACACCAACATGGCACATATGTACACATGTAACAAACCTGCATGTTGTGTACATGTACCCTAGAACTTAGAGTATAATTATATATATATATATATATATAAAGAAAAGTAAGAAGTGAAATTGTCTCTCTTTGCTGATGGCATGATCTTCTATATACAAAACCCTAAAGACTCCACCAAAAAACTGGTAGAATTAGTAAACAAATTCAGTAAAGTTGTAGGATACAAAATCAACACAGAAAAATTAGGAGCATTTCTATATACTAACAGTGACCTATCTGAAAAGGAAATTTAAAAAAATTCCATTTACAGTAGTATCAAAAGAATAAAAACAATTTTATTTAAAATTTAGAAGTAAATTTTTTAAAATTTAGGAATAAATTTAATAATTTAATAATAGAAGATAAAACTTAGAAATAAATCTAACTAAGAGGGTGAAATATCTGTACACTGGAAATTATGAAACATTGATGAAAGAAATTGAAAAGACACAAATAAATGGAAACATATACCAGTTCACGGGTTGGAAGAATTAATATTGTTAAAATGTCCATACTACCCAAAGTGATCTACAGATTCAATGCAATCTCTACAAAATTTCAATGTTATTTTTCACATTAGAGGTAGAAACAATCCAAAAATTTATATGAAACTACCAAAGACACTGCCTGAATAGCCAAAGCAATCTTGAACAGAAAGAACAACATTTGAGGCATTATGCTACCTGACTTCAAAATATATTACAAAGCTATAGTAATTAAAACAGCATAGTATTGTCACACAGACAGACACACAAACCAATGAGACAGAATAAATAATAGAATTAAACCCATGCATTTATGGTCACTTGATTTTTGACAAAGGTATCAAGAAAATACAATGGGGATAAGACACTCTTCAATAAATGGTGTTGGAAAAACTGGATATCCACATGCAGAATAATGAAATTGGACATTTATCTCACACCCTGTATGCAAATCAACTGAAATTAGATTAAATACTTAAATGTAAGACCCGAAACTGTAATAGTCCCAGAAGAAAACATAGGGGAAACGCTCCATGACTTTGTTCTGGGCAATGATTTTTTAGATATAACCCCTAAAGCACAGGCAACAGAAACAAAAATACACAAATGGGACTGTATCAAACTAAAAAGCTTCTGCACAGCATAGGAAGCAAGTAATAGAGTAAAGAGATAACCTACAGAATGGAAGAAAATATTTGCAACATACATCTGAAAAGGGGTTAATATCCAAAATATATAAAGTACTCAAAGTTCAATAATAAGAAAATAAGTAATCCAATTTTAAAAGGGCCCAAATAGATGTTTCTCAAAAGAAGACATATAATTGGGCAACAGGTATATGAAAAAATGTTCAACATCAATAATTATCAGCAAAATGCAAAATAAAACCAAAATGAGACACCATCTCAAATCTGTTAGGATGGTTATTATAAAAAAGACAAGAGGTAACAAGTTTTGGTGAGGATGTGAACAAAAAACCCCTTGTATGCTGCTGGTGGGAATGTAAATTAGTACAGCCATTATGGAAGACACCATGGAGGTTCCTCAGAAAACTATATGATCCAGCAATCCCACTTCTGGGCATATCCAAAGGAACTGAAATCAGGATCAAAGAAACATCTGCACTCCCATGTTCATTTCAGCATTATTCACAATAGCCAAGCTATGGAAGCAACCCAAGTGTCCATCAGTAGATGAATGTATAAAGAAACCATGGTATGCATACCCAATGGAATACTATTTGGCCAGAAGAAAGAATGAAATCAAGTCATCTGCAGCAACATGGATGGAACTGAAGGTTATCATGTTAAGTGAAATAAGCCAGACTCAGAAAGACAACTATTGCATGACCTCACCTATATATGGAATATAAAAAAATAAAACTCATGAAAGTAAAGAGTAGAATAGAAGTCACCAGAGGATGAGGGGAAATACGGAGTCGTTCATCAAAAGGTACAAAATTTCTGTTAGACAGGAAGAACAAGTTTTGAAGATCTATTGCACAGCACAATGACCATAGTTAATAATGTAATGTATATTTCAAAATTGCTAAGAGAGATTTTATGAGCTCATACCACAAATGTTAAATATGTGATGAATATGTTAATTTTAGCTTGATTTAATTATTCCATAATGTATACACATATCAAAACATCACTTTGTATGTCATAAATATATACCATTGTTTTTTGTCAAGTATTTATAAAAAAACTTGTCATGTTAAAAAAGGCACATGCATACCTTCAAACTAGAAAAATTCTACTTATTGTTTCTGGCTTAGAAAAATAATCATAGATGTATGTAAAGATTCATATGTAATAATGTTCATCTTAATATTTTTATACACAATGAAAAGTTGAATATAAGCTAAATGTTTAATTGTAGCTACTAAAAATTAGGTTTTAGAAGAATATTCAATGATATACAAAATAAACATTACATTAAAAAGAAAAAAGAATTGAAAGTAAAGTGATGGAAACATTAACAATTAAAAATTAATCAAGTGAAAACTTTTATAGCTATAATAATACTAAATTGGTCTTTGAGGAAGCACTACTAGTAATGAATAAATTACTTTAATAAAATTATCAATTAAAAGTAATGGCCAGAAATTCTAATTTTATGTAAAATTAATTTCATGGCTTCAAATGTATATATAATGGGATAAGATGACAGAAGTATAATTAAAAAACAAAAGAAATCCAGGTACATAGTTGGAAATCTTAACACAATTCTCTCAACAATAAATAGAAGATAGAAGAGTTAAAAACATTTATATATTTATTCATGAACAACATGAATAATGGACTTAAGAAACTCATATGTAATGATAATTGAATTTAAGTAACATATATAACACTACACTCTCAGCCTAAAAAACACATATTTCTTTCAAGTTTACATGCAACAGATATCTGAAAAGACCATAAACTGGGCCATTATAATGATATTGGGAAAAAAGCTTCTAAGTTTGGAAATTATGCAATATACTGCAAAATAATGCCAAAGAAAATTACGATGAATATTTAAAAATAGTTCATATTTAATGATGATTAAAATATAATATGTTAAATTTGTGGAATGCAGCTAAAGGTGTGCTCAGTAGAAATGTGAAGCTCTAAATACATTTGAAAGGAAAAAAAATTACATAAAAAGTCAGAACCAAATTTATCAGAACTCTGGAAAATGGTCAAAGTTGAGTAACAGCCAAGCAAATGCTGAATGGAGCAAAAGACAGCATAAAAGGTAGAAATTAGTAAGCATTCCTCAAAAACATTGTAATACAACCAAACAATCCACATTCACTTGGTGCAAAATATCAGAACTGAATAAAGTAATAAATACTCAAAAGCATAAAAGGAAAAGCAGGGAACAGAGTTTCTTTAGAAAATTGGGGCACTCAAAAGCACCTATGTGTACTAGGAATTTAGAAAGTCAAGTGCATGCCCAGGGCAGGACATACATTTAGAAAAACACTGAGGAAAAACAGTACAGAAGTTTCCCAAAAAATTAAAAAATAAAACGATTATGTAATCCAGCAATCCCACTACTTGGTATACATCCAAAGGAAATGAAATCAGTATGTCAAAGAAATACATGTACTCTCATGTTTACTGCAGCATTATTTACAATAATTAAGACATGGAAGCAACCTAAGTGTCCATAAAGGGGTGAATGGATATTTTTAAAAATGCGTCCTGTATATACAATGAAATACTATCCAGCCTTAATAAAGAAGGAAATCCTGTCATTTGTGACACCATGGATAAGCCTGGAGGGCATTATGTTAAGTGAAATAAGCCAGGCACAAAAAGACACATACCGCATGATCTTATTTATATGTAGAATCTAAAAAAGTTGATCTCGTGGAAGAAGAGAGCAGAATGGTGGTTTCCTGGGACTCAGTAGTGGGGTGAGAGTTGGGGAGATGTTGGTCAAAGGCTATAAAATTTCAGCTGGGTAAGAAGAATAAGTTCAAGATATCTGTTGTACAACATCATGACTATAGTTAATACCAATGCATTTTTTTCCTTGAAAATTCCTAACGGTAGATTTTGTGGTCTTACCACATACAAAAATGATAAATATGTGAGGTAATATGTATGTTGATTACATTACCATTCCACAGTGTATACATATCTAAAAACATGTTGTACAAAATAAATATATACAATTTTACTTGTCTATGTAAATAAATTAAATAAAGAAAGAAAATAAAATGTATATAATAAAAGAAAATAAGAAGAAAGAACAAACCTGAGAAGACCCTCAACTTTCACCTCTGGCTAACAGCTGGGTCAGTGCAAGCTCTAAGAGAAGGCTAAGGCAGAATTATAAACAGCCTGTTAAGCATTGAAGGAGTGTTCCAGAACTATGCTAATCTGCAATGATTGAGAGAGTTTTGTTTTGTTTTGTTTTGTTTTGTTTTTTTGTGGTCTTTTATTTCTTCATTTATTTTTGGGAAGGGACTTGAAATGGTACACTAAAAAAATAAACTAAAGTCGTTTATCAGTTCTAGGAGCATTTGGGCAGAGTCTTCAGGGTTTTCTAGTATAGGATCATATTGTCAGAGAAGAGAGATAATTTGATTTCTCCCTTTTCTATGCCGTTTATTTTGTTTTCTCTTGCCTGATCGCTGTGATTAGACTTCCAGTACTATGCTGAATAGGAATGGCGAGAATGAGCATCTTTGTCTTGTTCCAGCTCTCAATGGGAATGCTTTCAGTTGCTGCTCATTCAGTATGACATTGGCTGTGGATTCGTCATAGGTGGCCTTATTATTTTGAGGTATGTTCCTTCAATGAAGTTTGTTGTGGGTTTTTAATCATAAAGGAATGTTGGATTTTATCAAAAGCTTTTTCCTTATAGACTTTAGTAAAATTTCAAGATACAAAATCGATGTACAAAAATTAGTAGCAATTTGATACACTAGTAATATTCAAGCTGAGAGCCAAATCAAGAATGCAATCCTATTTACAATAGCCACAAAAATTAAAATGCCTAGGAATACATCTAACCAAGAGGTGAAAGATCTTTACAAGGAGAACTACAAAACACTGCTAGAAGAAATAATAGATTACACAAACAAATGGAGAAATATTCCATGCTCACAGATTAGCAGAATCAGTATTGTTATAATTGCCAGACTCCCCAAGGCAATCTACAGATTCAGTGCTATTCTTATCAAACTACCAATGTCACTTTTCACACAATTAGAAAAAACTCTTCTAAAATTCATGTGGAACCAAAAAGGAGCCCAGTCAGCCAAAGCCATCCCTAGCAAAAAGAACACAGTCAGAGGCATCACATTACCTGTCTTCAAACCACACTATAAGGGTATAGTAACAAAAACAGCATAGTACTGATACAAAAACAGACACATAGACCAATGCAACAGAATAGAGGACCCAGAAATAAAGCCTTATACCTACTGCTATCTGATCTTCGACAAAGTTGACAAAAACAAGCAATGAGAAAAGGACTCCCTGTTCAATAAATGGTGTTGGGATAGCTGGCTAGCCACACACAAAGGAATGAAACTAGACCCCTAGCCAGGCACGGTGGCTCACGCCTGTAATCCCAGCACTTTGGAAGGCTGAGGCGGGCAGATCACGAGGTCAGGAGATTGAGACCATCCTGGCTAACATGGTGAAATCCCGTCTCTACTAAAAATACAAAAATTAGCTGGGTGTGGTGGCAGGCACCTGTAGTCCCAGCTACTCGGGAGGCTGAGGCAGGAGAATGGCGTGAACCCAGGAGGTGGAGCTTGCAGTGAGCTGAGATCACGCCACTGCACTCCAGCCTGGGCGACAAGGCAAGACTCTGTCTCAAAACAAAACAAAACAAAAAAAAACTAGATCCCTACATTTCACCATATACAAAAATTAGCTCAAGAAGGATTAAAGATATAAATACAAGACTTCAAACTATAAGAATCCTAAAAGAAAACCTAGGAAACACCATTCTGGACAATTGGCTTTGGGAAAGAATTTATGACTAAGTCCTCAAAAACAATTGCAGCAAAAACAAAAATTGACAAGTGAGACCTATTTAAACTAAAGAGTTTCTGCACAGCAAAGGAAACTATCAATAGTGTAATGAGAAAACATACAGAGTGGGAGAAAATGTTCACAAACAATCCATCTGACAAAGGTCTAATATTCAGAACCTGTAGGAAACATAAACAAACCAACAAGCAAAAACCAAACAACCCTATTAAAAAGTGGGCAAAGTCATGAACAGACACTTCTCAAAAGAAGACCTCTAAGTGGCCAACAAGCATATGGAAAAATGCTCAACATTACTAAGCATTAGAGAAATGCACATCAAAACCACAATGAGATACCATCTCACATCAGTCAGAATGGCTATTATTAAAAAGTCAAAAAATAACAGATGCTGGTGAGGCTGCAGAGAAAAGAGAATGTTTACACACTGTTGGTGGGAATGTAAATTATCCCAGCCACTGTGGAAAGCAGGTTGGAGACTTCTCAAAGAACTTAAAATAGAATTACCTTTCGATCCAGTAATCCCATTACTGGGTATATAGCTAAAAGAAAATAAATTATTCTATTGAAAAGACATATGCACTCATATGTTCATCCCAGTACTATTCACAATAGCAAAGACACGGAATCAACCTAGATGTCCATCAACAATGGACGGGATAAAGAAAATGTGGTACATATATATCATGGAATACTATGCAGCCATAAAAAATGAATCACATCCTTTGCAGCCACGTGGATGTTACTGGAGGCCATTATCCTATGCAAATTAATGCAGGAACAGGAAACCAAATACTGCATGTTCTCACTTATAAGTGGGAGTTAAAAAAATGAGTATTTGTGAACATAAAGATGGCAAAAGTAGACACTGAAGAAAGGGCGGAGGAAGGGAGGGGTCCAAGTATAACAAATGATTGGGTACTATGCTCACAACCTGGGTGATGGGATCAATTGTACCCCAAACTTCAGCATCACACAATATACCCAGGTAAGAAACCGCACATGTACCCCCTGAATCTAAAATAAAAGATGAAATAATTTAAAAAATTAAAAATGGACTAAACATAAAAAGAAGGTAGTAATGGAGGAAATGAGAGGGGTAAAGTATAATATAGAAAGAAAAAGTAAAATGGCAAAAATAAGTTCTTCCTTACCAATGATTACTAAATGTAAGTGAATTTAACTCCCCAGTCAAAAAGCAGAGACTCCTATAGAGTCATTTCAGATCTAAAGATACACATAGGCTGAGAGTGAAAGAATGGAAAAACATATTTCATACAAATAATAATGAAAAGAGATCAAGGCAGAAATTTCCCCAATAATAGTTGGATAATTCAATATTCCACTTTCAATAATGGATAAAGCATTCATACAGGAGATCAGTAAGGACCCAGAGACATTGAGCAACACTAAAAACTAAATAGACCTAACAATATAGAACAATACACTCAACCAGAGCAGATTATATATATATTTTCTCAAGAGCACACGGCATATTCTCCAGGATGTTAGGCCACAAAATAGGTCTCAGTGAATTTAAAAATGTTGAAATCACGCAAAGCATCTTTTCTGACTACAAAAAAAAAAACCAAACTAAACAAAACTACAAATCAATAAGAGACGAGGAACTGGAAGATTTACAAATCTGTGGAATTCAACAGCACACTGTTACACATCCAGCAGGTCAAAGGAGAAATCACAATGGAAATTATAAAATACTTAGAGAGGAGTGAGAATAAAAGTACAACATACCAAAACTAATGTGATGTAGGGAAAGGAGTGCTCAAAGGGAAGTTTACAGGTGTGGACACCTACATTAAAAAGAGGAAAAATCTCAAATTAACATAACTTTACACCTTGAAGAACTAGGGGAAAAGGGCAAATGAAACTCAAAGCTAGTGGAAGGAAACAATAAAGATGAGAGTAGAGTTCAATGAAATTGAGATAGATAAACAATAGAGAGAATCAATAAAAACATCAGTTGATTCTTTGAAAAGATTAACAAAATTGACAAACCTTTAGTTAGACCAGCAAAGAAAACCAGAGAAAACACAAATAACTAAATCCAGAAATGAAAGTGAGGACATTACTTACCAACCTTACAGAAATAAAAAAGATTATCAGAGAGAATAATGAAAAATTATTCACCAGAAAATTAAATAACCAAAGGCAATGGACAAATTACTACATACGCAAATGACCAAAACTGACTTAAGCAGAAAAATTGAACAAACCTATAAATGCTAAATGAATTGAATAAATAATCATGAAACTCTCTGTACAGGGTGACATCAGCAAGACTTTTCCAGCTGCTGCTTGAGGGTCTGACACCAGGGAGTTCTAATTTCTGGAGGGATCCAAAAAACAGGAGTAGGAATTTGCATTTTTTATTCTCTATGCCCTTTTGGGGCACCTCCCTTTATCTGCTTGGCTGGGAAACCATGGTTTTTCCCTTGCTGAGGAGACCCACTCATAAGGCAAAGGGCTGTATGGGCCTCTTATCATGAACATATAAATGAACAAATTGTGTGTGTATGTGTGTATGTTGTGCATGTGTTTGAACAATTATTAAATTCAGCACACAGTGTCTGCCCTGAACCAGCACATTACACCAGGGAGTAGATACTCCAGGGACTCCCAAAACACCCACACTTTGGAAGCAGAATGGTCCAAAGTTGTAACCAAAGTTGATCATCCCGTGTGGGATGATCAACACTATGTTTGAAATGCTTGTTTTTTGGTGCTGTAAAGAAATAGCACTTGAACATAAATTTAATTTTCTCAGCAAGGCCATTTTTATACTTTCTGCAGAAAGGGTACACTCGCCAGCAGTTTTGCCACAAGAGTACACTGAACAAAGGAGACAGGGTCATTTATAACTTGATGCGTCCACCTTACTGCTGTGTCTGGTTTCTATTGGCTGGAACAGGACTTCACATTCTGTATTTGTCTTGATTGGCTAGGAACTTAGAACTTTTTAAAAGGGGCAAAGGCAGAGGAGAACAAAGGAAGGAGGTAGTAACTTGTGGAATGCTGAGAAAGGTAAAAACACCTTCAAATAAGGAAGAGGAACAGGCAATGACCTAATGCTTGCTTGGACCAGTATAAGCATGCCAGGGCAAATATTTAGGCTAAATTGTGGGAGCTAAGAACATAAAGTACATTGATTTCTTTATTACGGCTAACAGATATTTAAGGATGTTAGCACAGGTCTTTGAATAAATTTTCCTTCTAAGAGAAGTTACTATTTATTCCTAATTAGATGAGGAGGAAAGTCTTTGAAGAGGAACCTCTACTTTACTTTTCACAATTCCTTCTCTTTTTATTTCATAATTCCTCTTCAAACTTGTTTAATATGTTTTGACTTAATTGCTTTATTTGTCTTTCTAAGAGAAGTAATTTTTCTGAATAGGGTGGAGGAGAGTTAGGAGTTAACTCTGTAAGAGTGGCAGAGACAAATTTTTGTATAAAACTTTGAAAGCAGGGAATAATAGCCTACAAGAATAAGCACACTAATAACAAAAGCTAACAAGGTGAGAATTGAAGTTAAAATTTATTTTTATCCACTTAACTAATACTTTATTATTTTATTATTATTATTATTATTTTTATTTTGTTCTTTATTTATTTATTTTTTTGAGACGGGGTCTTGCTCTGTCACCCAGGCTGGAGTGCAGTGGCACAATCTTGGCTCACTGCAAGCTCCGCCTCCCAGGTTCACGCCATTCTCCTGCCTCAGCCTCCCGAGTAGCTGGGACTACAGGTGCCCACTACCACGCCAGCTAATTTTTTTGCATTTTTAGTGGAGGCGGGGTTTCACCGTGTTAGCCAGGATGGTCTCGATCTCCTGACCTCGTGATCCACCCACCTCAGCCTCCCAAAGTGCTGGGATTACAGGCGTAAGCCACCGCTCTTGGCTGTTTTAATATTTTAGAAAAAGGATTATTTATTTTTGAATTTTTGGCAAGTTTATTGGATAGGGCTGTTAATCCTTGTAGCGCTTTTGTTATAGTTCCATCAGGGCAGTATTATTAGGAACAAAGGTACAATATTGAGTTTTAATTATGACACAAACATCTCCTTTTTCTGCTAATATTATATTTAAAGCTATTTTATTTTTCTAGGCCATCTGGCTTAGCTTAGATATCTCTTTGATGTTTAGCAATCTCTTTGATGACGTCCTCAGTGTAATGTATGAATTGTTGCTGATTGTAGTAGATATAGTTTATTTAGTCTACATTTTTTTTTATTTAAAGTTACTTACCAGAAATACGTGGATTCAAATTGTGCAGCTGTTTGATTTTGTGCTTTAAACTTATTTGGCACTTCTCAAAGGACCTTAATAGCATTTATGTAAAACTGAGGATTAAAGGATTCATAAGGAGTTTCTCTTGGCCTGTGGTGCTTTGTTTTTACTTTTTTAGATTGATGAAATGCCAGGGTGAAGGGGATAGCCAATTGGATTAGAGCACAAGTACTGCTCCAATTATTTGGCAGAGTGTCCAGTAAAGGTGCTTCACAGTACCACCATACATTTGCTTGGGGATGGCTAAGCATGGACTGATGGGCAAGCTCTTGGAAAGGCTCGAGCTCCTCGCATCTTTGTGTGCTTCCAAAGAACACCAAATTTTCCTCTTGCCATGAGATGCATAAAGTAAACTTGGCATTTAGAGGTGGAAGCTGGATTGCCTTCAGGGGCTTACCAGCAGAGTGTTGAATTTCAGGAAATAGCAGAGAGAGCTTGGCATGATGGATTATCCTAAGTAATTGGATTCTGAAAAAGAGCCACCATACAGTCCGTATCTGGTCGATGAGGAGACCATCTGAGTGGAAAGAGGATAATCTGGGCCTCTGGCCTACCGTGCATACAAGTTTAATAATCGCTTTTATTTAAAGTGTGAACGGAATATTTAATCCACTCCAGCTACGCATTTGCATCTTGATATTTTGTCTTGATGGCTAAGTTCTGTCTGTCTTAGATCTCTTATTTTTACAATAGACACTCTAGTTTTATTAGATGTAGGAGCGACCAGTGTGGGATCTAGAACTGAGGCTACTGAAGAAGGGGAAGATGGGGGTAATAATGCCCGTTTTGTAGAGTTAGTTAAGGTGGAGGTAGTGACAGAGAGAAGGACAGGGTTACATTGATAAGGCTAGCAGTTAGAAGGGGTAGTCTTTTTAGTGAAATAGATGAAGGGTTTTAGATCTGCACAAACCTTTTTCGTGGAAGTCTAACTTTGCTCCTGAGTAGTTTAAAGGACGTAGTCCTATTTACTACAAGGTTACCAGGCTGTAGGAGCAGAAAATCAGTGTCTTGGCTGCAGGTGATCACAACGATGAGTGCTAGGGGTAACTGTGTCAATTAGAGGGCCAGGATATAAATATTTGTGTGAAAAGGCTAACTGTCGTTGATCTTTTACATTTCCACAAGGTATGATAGAGCAAGCATTAAAGGCAATGGTCTGAGGCAGACTTAGTTACATTAATAACAAAGGAGCTAGTAACAGAATAAGGAAAGAAAAGGAAGCAATATAGAATGTATATGAAAATTAAGCTTTCTTTAACTTAGTAGGGCTTGATCTTAGTACAGTAACCTAAGATGTTTTCTTGACTCGAGTATGGTGGGTCCATTCTTTCTTGGCTGTGCGGATGGCAGTCTCAGTGGTTAACAGCATAAAATAGGGTCCTTCCTAGGCTGGCGTGAATTTTTTTTCTATCTTTTGATGAGGATGTGATTTTTAGGCTGGTGCTGGTGCACTGGAAATTCTAGGGGTGGCACCTGTGCTAAAAGACTTTTAGTTCTGAGGGAAGGGAAAGTGGAAGATAAATTAAGCATATCATTTCTATTGCATATCTTGGGGCTTGAGGCCTCATGGTGATGCCTCCCACTCCATTCCTTCTCAGCGCCGCCCAGGGTACGTGGCGGCCTTGATCCCTCTTAAGGTCTTGGCCATCTTGTGGCCTTCACCGCCCCTGCGCGTTGTGGCCTTGGGGATGAGGGGCCTTGTGACTTACCTGGCCACCTTCAGGCCTTAAGAAAGCTAAACACCATTTTATATTTGACAATGCTTTTTGTATGATTTTATACGAGATAAGTTAAATTTTACCTTCATATTAATGTGCTATTAATGTTAAACTTAATTTTAATAAAATCTTGTAGACATTATTTATCCAATTTTAATGTCTGACTATAAGGTAAGATTTTTATAGACTCTTTTTAACCTTTTATAATTTTTGTTAAAGAGCAGGTTAGTGCTTTAAGAAAAATCTATTGTGCTTTTATTTTAACGTTCAGTTCACAGAAAAACTGGATGATACCTCTTTAACTTTAGCCAATATGTTTACACACAGAATTTCCTTTACAATTAACATTTTAAAACTTGCTTAAACCTTTAAAACAAGTTTTTTAACCTTTTAATATAGGTAAAAATCCATATTCTTATGCCTCCTTATAATCCTGTTATTAAAAGTATATTTTATTTTTCTTACATACTTTGTACATAAACTGTTTTTAAAATAGTTTTACATTCAGAAGGCCTAATTACTTTTAAATTATACAATATTTCTTGCATAAATTCCTTTTTATAACTTTCCTTATGACTTTCACAGACAATCTTCAACATGTCTTAACTTTCTGCCTTCCTTTTACACTATTTCTTTTCTTAGTTTCACCTTCTGGGTCTTTCTTTGATTTCTGTCTCTTCCAGTTTCTCTCTTACTCTTTTATTCTATTTCTCTCTCTCTCATTTGCACTCTTATTTTCCTCTCTCTCATTTGCATTCTATTTTTCTTTCTCTGTCTGTCATCCTCTGTTTCTTTTTTCCTTTCTGAGTTTTCCTGGTCTTGCAGCTGGTGGGGCTGGGCAAAGGCATGGGCCTCGCCCCCAAGTATGCGCTGCCATCTATTTCTCCTGTTTTTATTTTTTTCTGATTTCATTTTTTACTTTTTTTTTCCCTTTCTTCCTACACTTAGTTTCTCAGGCTGGGTGGGATTTGCACGGCTGCAGTCCTGGCCCTGGGCCTTCACCGGCCTTGAGGCTTGGCAGATGCCTGCCGCAACTTGCAAGAATTGTACCTTTTCACCTCTTCTGCTGTCCTCCTGGCACTGGTCCTCACCCTCTTTTTCACACAGAGCTGGGCTGGGGAGAGGGACTTAACTTTAGGTTAGTTAAGTTAAGGTGCCTGGCTGTCTGGCACCATGCTTGCTGTTTTTGCTCTCTTTCTCTCTGAATTTCCTCTCCTAATTTCTTTTTCCTCTCTGCTGGTCTTTCCTTTGCCTCTGCCAGCCACCTATGCTGCTGTTTTCCTCCCTCTCCTTCCTCTTCCTCTAGGGGAGCCACCGGGGAGAGGAGCTTAGCCTTTTTCTTTCCTCGGGAAGAGGGGGAAGGGGAGTTTTGAAAAAAAAAAAAAATATATATATATATATATATATATATATATTTTTTTTTTTTTACTACCAGAGGTTTGTGTGAGGTTCAACCCCCTCTCAATGGGGATTTCTCACCTCTTTTTGAGGTTCAAGCCCCCCTCAATGGGGATTTCTCACCTCTTTTTGAGGTTCAACTTCTACAGTGGGGATTTCTCACCTCTTTTTTGACCTCCAAGACATCCTGACTAAGGAATACTTCACTGCCCCCTGTCGCTTTCTTTCCTTAGTCCTGCCCAAGGAATGCTTTATCGCCCCTGCAGTTTCTCCCTCCTTGGTATGTCCTAACCAAGGAATGCTTTACCACCCTGCAGCTTTTTTTTTAGTCTTGACTACCAAGGAAATAGTTTACTGGCTCTCCTGGTGTTTCTTTCCTTGGTCTGTGCACACAGTTTCCTGGTTTAGGTGATATATGAGGATCTTTTACTCCAGGTCACCGGCCAGTGTTTTTTCTTTTTTTGCATTGCTGAGAGTCCGGGTTTATTTGTCACAGTGGGTGGGTCTCGAGTCCTTATCCCTGAGGCCACTGCAATGAGGCAGAGGAGCATGCTCCTTCATGAGAGAGGACTGGAGACCATCCCCAGAGGAGAATGTATCCCTGTACCAGCCACCAAATTGTTTGAAATGCTTGTTCTTCGGTGCCATAAAGAAATAGCACCTGAACATAAATTTAATTTTCTCGGCAAGGCCATTTTTATACTTTCTGCAGAAATGTTACACTCGCCAGCAGTTTTGCCACAGGAGTACACCGAACAAAGAAGACAAGGTCATTTATAACTTGATGTGTCCACCTTACTACTGTGTCTAGTTTCTATTGGTTGGAACAGGGCTTCACATTCTGTATTTGTCTTGATTGGCTAGCAATCTAGAACATTTTTAAAAGAGGAAAAGGCAGAGGAGAACAAAAGAAGGAGAAAGTAACTTGTGGAATGCTGATAAAGGTAAAAACACCTTCAAATAACGAAGAACAGGCTGTGACCTAATGCTTGCTTGGACCAGTATAAACATGCCAGGGCAAATATTTAGGCTAAATTGTAGGAGCTAAGAACATAAAGTACATTGATTTCTTTATTATGTCTAGCAGATATTTAAGAACGTTAGCACAGGTCTTTGAATAAATTTTGCTTCTAAGAGAAGTTACTATTTATTCCTAATTAGATGGGGTGGAAAGTCTTCGAAGAGGAACTTCTACTTTACTTTTCACAACTGTATGAACCGGTTACAGAAAAGAGAAATGTTCTTTAGAAAGTGACAATCCTTATGGAGAAAGTGGAAAAATCCTGAAATTTACTGCCACACATGCATACTTTCAGAAATTTGCATAATTGTAGAACTCTTCTTCCCATTTGATCACCCCACCCCATCTTTTTGTTCTTTATTTACTATTATTTCAGAGGGATTCAGGAAAACAAGAGAGATAAATGCATGAATTCCACTCTACACTGTGCTATGGTGCCAAATTAAGTCCACTTAGTTGGTGAATTTAAATGGTTTAAAACAACAGTAAAGGGGAGGAGATGTGCTGTAGAAGAAACTGCTTCAGTATCATGAAGTGATTGATAGAAATAGTAGATTACCATTCCAGAGACTGAAGATAAATTTCATGAACACTTCTAATGGATGACTTGGGTCTGGACCTAACAGAATCATTGGAGTCCTTCCTAGAGATGACAGCAATCTTTGTTTCCTACAATTCTTGGTTCTTCCAAGATCCAGCAATAGGGTGTTGATGGTTTAAGACATAAAGACAATATAATTCTTACTTTCATCTCATTTAATCTTAGAGGCATTTGGCCAAGCTATTTTAGTTTAGGTTCTACAAAAGCAATGCCCCCAAAACAAGGACTTGGCTACAGATAGATTATCCTGTGGGTGATCCTGCCTTATTTAACTGGGGCTCAATCCAACACGCATATGCCCCCAAATTGTCCAACTGGGACAATGTGGGCAGCTTGGACCTGGCTCCCAACCCACATTGGTAAAGGTACCCCCCAAATATTTCCTCCTCTCTACTTCTAGGCTGAACATGCACACTGGGCAAATGGGCTCTCTTGGATCTGAAGACTGCTCTACAGCAGAAAAGCAGAGAGACATGTTGGGAGGACACCTAATTCAAGTTAATAGAGTTGGCTGGCCAGTTTACAGACTCTCTCTCTTTCCCTCCCTTGTCAACTTAAGAATTTGGGCAATTGATTCAAAATTCTTGCAAAGGCAGATTTGGGTAACTAGGGTCTATTGCCAGGCTCTATTGATAACAGAGTACATCCTCACTGAGCTTCCTCCTCTGGGTACCAGCAAGCTTCTGGTGTCAATGGTGGGGAGGTCATTATGTGCTCAGGTCCACATCTCTGATGGATAAATATATTGAATATTACCCATGGATACCCAGCTAAAGTCAGCAGCATGAAGAGATGAAGAGTTCAAAAGAGGCAACGACTGAGAAGAGCTAGGATGAAAGAGAACCAGCCTACAACAGATGGGAAGTAACCCTTGTTCCTGGTCATTCCGTCCTCTGTGTCCCTTCTGTCAGGGACCTAGATACACAGCAGGCATGCCCCTGTACCCCTGCCCACTACCCAGTCTCTACGTGAGTTGGATAAGGAGTACTTTATTCTATAGTCTTGGATGAACATCAGCTAGAACAATGGAATAATAATGAGAATTTAAATAACTAAATTCTTCAGGATTTCTTGAATGCCTACACATACATTATCTACTTCAACTTCATAAAGCCTGAATGAAATGAAAATAACTTTAAGATAATGAATCTCAGACACAATGGAGGAAAAGCTCCAGACACTGGCTGAGGAGGACCTAGGACCTCAGCCCATTTGCAGGACACTTTCCTCTTCTATCAGACACCCATGCTCCCCTCCATCTGCAGCCTCCCACACCCAGGGACTAACCATCAGAAAAACGCCTAGTATCTCTTCCCTCACTTGCGAATTCCGCACTAAATGCATCTCTTCTTGCCACCTTTTACTTAACTGGCTGCACTTGACTCAGCCCCCTCTGCTCCTACTGTCTTTCCAAGAAAGTCACATCTGATGGATGTACATTTTTGGGGTTTTGGAAACCGTTGACTGTTGCCACAACAAGGAGGTAAGATGCGCTGGCAAAATCCTTTGGCACCTGCCTTGCTGTGGCTGAGTGGGGCTGGGCTGTAATGGCAAGAGATAGAGGGGCTCTCGTTATGGGTGAAATCTGCATGGGGCTCTTTGCATACTAGGGCACCAGAAGTTTTCTTAGTGTGGCACCCACCGCCCTGAGGGGTATCACTGATGATCAACATCCAAAGAACCTGAGGCCCAAAGCAGAGATAGTAGCTCCAAATCTCTCATTAGATGGAAGACTGAGATTCCCATCTGATTTTTTTTCAAACCAGCCAGAGTATTTGGAACAGAAATGCCTAACTTGCCTGTTAAAAAGTAAGAGAGTGTTGATATTTAAGCTCTGGCTGGAATTTAAGACTCTGGCTTTTTCTTGAAGGCTCCATATATGAAAAAGAAAAGTGAAATCAGATTATGCTTTTTCCTCTTCCCAACAAAGCCAGTATTTCCAAGAGTGAAAGGCTGTCTGTCCAGTACTCAGGCTGCCCGGTGTGGATGGCTCAGTGAGAGAGGGGAGGGTGAGAAGCCATTGGGGCCAAAACTAGGGATCTCAGTGACTGAGAGGAGTGGACAAGTCTTCAGTCAGCAGAGTTGGATTTGGGATGACAGACCAGGATTTCTGGGGTCAGTGCAAAGGCCGGTGAGAGCCTCCTCCTTCCCTTCTCTGCTCAGCCCCTGGGGTCTTCTTCCTCCACAATGAGTACTGGTGAATCTGAACTCTTTTCTCTGCCTATGCTCCACTGAGGGAGACCAGGCCTTTGGGTCCTGGGGACAGAGTGAGATAGAATTAAGGAATCTGCTCTGGAATCACTGAAAGCGACTTGATGTCTTCACATCACTGCCCCCTGCATCACAGCTCCAAAAGGGACACATTATAGTCCCCAAGAATTGGCTGGAATACTACACAGGTTTGTTAATTCTCTGGCCATGCTCAGGGAATATACTGTCTCCCGGTCACGCTCAGGTAATCAGAAGTCCAGACATTCTAATAAACAAGCCCTAGACCCTTGTTGAACTTAAATCTCCCTCGCCCCAGCTCAGTCCTACCTTGGAGTGAGAAATCAGCAGGAGGGACAAGAAAAGAGTCAGCTTCTGGTCTTTTCTTTCCCCTACCTCCTCTGCTATGAGCATCTGATGTTTGGGACCCTTACAAGGTGTCTGTGTGGGAGTGGGGAGGGTGGTAAAGGGTAGAGAAGTGGGGAGAGGAGAGGCAGTGGTGAAAATCAGGACAAGTCTCGCTTGTGATATGGTTGCAATCTGGCTGTAATGGCCTCTGGGGGGTGGTGAATGTTACTGACTATCCTCTAGTATGAGGGACCATGAGGGACCCTCTCTAATATTCCTTTTGGGATCTTTGAGATAGGCAAAGCCCTAATCCGCAGATTTCCTCTCACCTCCTCGGTCTCTGCAACAGGTGAGCCCAGTATCTTTCAACTGAGGTCCTGTTGACTGTGTTCTGCACACTGGGCTCTTCCCTCTAGCCCTTACTGTTGGCCTTTGGTGAAGGCACATCCACGTGCCCTTTCTGCCTCCTCAATCTGACAGTTGTCCTGTTCTGACCTGGGCAAGGAGTTGAGGGGGCAAAGCCAATCTCATAGCTGCATAAGTGGTTTTGCAACTTCTTAGTTCTGTAAATCTCCAGAAAGCAGACATACTATCATCTTACTAGCCTCATAGCCACCTTGTGCTGGGGCATCTCTTCTCTTACTTTAAACACCCTGGGGGCTTATGGTCCCCATTTAAAACAAGGAAATGAGATTCTCTGAGAGGTGAAGCAGATAACCAAGGTCACTGCTAGTATAAACATGCATGTGCAAGTGTCTTTTTCATATAATCACTTCTTTTCCTCTGGGTAGACACCCAGTAGTGGGATTGCTGGGTCAAATGGCAGATCTACTTTTAGTTCTTTGAGGAATCTCCATACTGTTTTGCATAATGGTTGTACTAGTTTACATTCCCACCAGCAGTATAAAAGTGTTCCTTTTCACCACCTGCATGCCAACATCTGTCATTTTTTAATTTTTAAATTATGGCCATTCTTAACAGGAGTAAGGTGGTATCTCATTGTGTTTTTAATTTGCATTTCCCTGATTACTAGGGATGTTGAGCATGTTTTTTCATATGTTTGTTGACCATTTGTCTATCTTCTTTTGAGAACTGTCTATTCATGTCCTCTGCCCCACTTTTTGATGGGATTATTTGTTTTTTTTCTTGCTGATTTGTATGAGTTCCTTGTCGATTCTGGATATTGGTCCTTTGTCAGATGCATAGTTTGCAAAGATTTTCCCCCACTCTGTGGATTGTCTGTTTACTCTGCTGATTATTTCTTTTGCTGTGCAGAAGCTTTTTAGTTTAATTAGGTCCCATTTATTTATTTTTGTTTTTGTTGCATTTGCTTTGGGATCTTAGTCATGAATTCTTTGCCTATGTCAATGTCTAGAAGAATTTTTCGAATGTTATCTTCTAGAATTTTTATGGTTTCAAGTTAGATTTCAGTCTTTGATCTATCTTGAGTTTATTTTATTATTATTATTCTTTTTGAGACGGAGTCTCGCTCTGTCACCAGGCGGGAGTGCAGTGGCGCGATCTCGGCTCACTGCAACCTTTGCCTCCCAGATTCAAGCAATTCTCCTGCCTCGGCCTCCTGAGTAGCTAGGACTACAGGCACGCACCACCATGCCCAGCTAATTTTTTGTATTTTTAGTAGAGACAGGGTTTCACCATGTTGGCCAGGATGGTCTCAATCTCTTGGGCTCATGACCCGCCCGCCTCAGCCTCCCAAAGTGCTGCGATTACAGGCATGAGCCACCGCACCTGGCCGAGTTTATTTTTGTGTAAGATGAGAGCTGAGGATCCAGTTTCATTATTCTACATGAATTATCACATTGATTTTTCCCGCAGCCTTTTCTGATAATGATCAAACAGAGGAAAAGCCTGGGATTTGATCCACATTGTTTTCCGGGCACATGGAGTTCTCTGATGCACCAGCCTCCACATCTGTGCTAAGGCCAGGTCTTACTTTGCTATAAGTACCTTTGTTTGGGGATCAAGATAATTGGCATGGAATTAACTATATATAACCTCACATGGGAAATCTATTAATCTGTGTTCTTCATTCTGCATGTTTTACTCATGAAATTAATTCATTGGATTATGACCAGCATTAAAAAACAAACAGATGAAAAACATTCATAGAATGGAATAGGAGTTATAGGGTGTATTTAAGGCAAATTGTTCTGTAATACCTCACATTCACCTGTGTGCAGGTATTTGTGTGCATGTGTACTTGGTTCCTATATGCTCACTTAGTAAATTTAGGAATATGCTCCTTCTAGGATCTGGTTCTTTTTTTTTTTGTATGGCTGCCACTCTGTAATTGAACCTGGTTCCACGACTCCCTTTAGAAGGGCCTCCTCCTCCTCTTCCAAAAGGACTCCTCTGCCCCTGTCTGGAGGAAGGTATCTGGCAATATATCTGGGCAAGATATTCAAAGAGCTGAGCTTGGAGCAATTGTAACCCAGGCTGAATTCTGATGACCTCTTCTAAACTTCCAGGTCAGTGCTCCTGGAGGCTCACCCACACAAACACATAGGCACACTAACAACACCTGGAAGACACACCAACCTCATGCAGAGGAAACCATACCCTCACTGGCCTGGCAGTGACACAGGGGCCTGGGCAGGCATAGCACAGAAGAGTCCTGGTGTAACTGAGATAAAGTATCTCAATTGTACAAATAATTATTTTCGGCTCGGTTGTCTCTAGCGTGCAGCTGGTGAGCCTTCACCATGGGCCCAGGAGAAGCGGATCATATGAACAAGGCCTGGGGATGGGACAGTTGAGCTGGGGCTGCAGGGGCTAAGGCTGTTTCCCATGGGGCTCAGCACTGGTGGACAGGTAAGCAGACAGGTTTGAAGATGCTGGCTCAGTTCACAGACATGGTCACAGAAAAAGCCTGGAAAACTATAGGGTTTTCTGCTGACCTCCCACACTCACCATGGACAGTCAGTACCCTGCACTGGCCCGTGTCGTACCCAAGCAGAGTGTGCTTGAAAATTGGATGTATATTAGTAGACCCCGTGCTCAGCGGGTACAGTTTAGAAAGGGAAGTTAACTTATCTGTCAATTAGTAAGTTAACAACACACAAAGTGTACTATGTTTTATTAATCAAACAAAAATATGTTTAACACCTGCTGGGCACAAGGAGTACAATGGTAAAGAGTTTAATGGAAATGTTTAATGGTTAATGCCAAGACCTGTGTATGTATTAATATGATGCCAATCATTTAATACCTGATGAAGCAATAGTTTCTGGGACTACTTGGGTTAGAAAATGGGCCTGCCACAGGCCCAAGCCCATCCCCTACCCTGCATGTGCTCCTGCTCCACTCCCTTGTGCATCTATCCGGTATAATGTTGTGGGGAAGGGGAGTGCTCGATTCCTCACCTTAACCAGCCTGCCAGCTATCCATGCAGAGACATGTGGGCAAAACTCCTAAGGCCAGACCTCCCCACTCCATTCTCCTGCTAGGCTGCTGAGGGACTCCATTCGAACCTGGTAATTACCCTGCCTCCTTCCCTCCAGATTCCATAGGTTACCTCTTCCTCTTTGCAGACTAACTAAAAGCCACCATATCTAAGTAGCATTTGATGAGAAGAAACTAGTTATTTATGTAAACCAAAATAATTAATGTTACAACGGAGAAACTTTATATAGCAGCCACAGATGAAGCCTGGCATGAGGAAGTCAATGATCAGTTGCTGCTCTCGCCATATGGTGGGTTATAAAATCTTCCCAAGACAAGTGAGGCACCGAGAAATTGAAGACTCATATACATTCCAGAGAACAGGGCCTCTCTCATCCATCTCCTCCATTAGGGCCTTTCTTCATATTTCATAGATAGACAGCTGGAGCCAGTTCTCTGCTTCCTGGGCCCTCTAAAAGGGCCAAAGACTTGGACAAATCCATTGTCCTGGGCACTCAGGAGGCAAGATTCTGTGTGTGCATGAGTGTACGAACATGTGTCATGTGAGAGAGTGTGTGGGCACTGGGCACACGAAGCATGAGGGTAGGTGAGTGAACATGTGTCAGCCTACATGAGTGTATATATATGTGCACAGAGTGTGTGAGCATGTGTGCATCAAACATAAGTTTGTGTGAACGTGGCACCACGAGTGAATTTGTGTGTTTGTGTGTGGGGTAAGTGAACATGTTGCAGCCTGAGTGAGCAAGTGTAGTGTGTGCAACAGGGATGTATGTATTCATGTTTACACATGTCAGCTTAAGTATGTTAGGGTGTGTGAACGTGTGTCAGTGTGAGTATGTGTGGGCCTGTGCACAGAATGCAAGTAAGTGTATGTGTGCATGCCGAGGGTGAGTGAGAGTGTGTGTGTGGGGGGGTAAGTAAACATGGCTGGGCATGGGTGAGTGTGCACACCAGGTATGAGTGGCTGTGTGCAGTGTTGTGTGTGTTCACAATGAGTGTGTGAAACAGACCTGCCAGGCCATGCTAGTGAGAGGTGACAGCATGCTGGCAGCCCTCGCAGCCCTCGCTGGCTCTCGGAGCCTCCTCAGCCTTGGCGCCCACTCTAGTGGCACTTGAGGAGCCCTTCAGCCCGCCGCTGCACTGTGGGAGCCCCTTTCTGGGCTGGCCAAGGCCGGAGCTGGCTCCCTCAGCTTGTGGGGAGGTGTGGAGGGAGAGGCACGGGCAGCAACTGGGGCTGCGGGCGTCGCTTGCGGGCCAGCACGAGTTCCGGGTGGGCGTGGGCTCAGCGGGCCCGCGCTCAGAGCAGCCATCCGGCCCCGATGGCCCCTGGCAGTGAGGGGCTTAGCACCTGGGCCAGCAGCTGCTGTGCTGGATTTCTCCCCGGCCTTAGCTGCCTCCCCGCAGGGCAGGGCTTGGGACCTGCAGCCCGCCATGCCTGAGCCTCTCTCCCCTGCCCCACTCCGTGGGCTCCTGCACAGCCCGAGCCTCCCCTATGAGCGCCGCTCCCTGCTCCACGGCGCCCAGTCCCATCCACTGCCCAAGGGCTGAAGAGTGCAGGCGCATGGCCGGGGACTGCCAGGCAGCTTCACCTGCGGCCTGGTGCAGGATCCACTGGGTGAAGCCAGCTGGGCTCCTGAGTCTGGTGGGGACTTGGACAACATTTATGTCTAGCTAAGGGATTGTAAATACACCAATCAGCACTCTGTATCTAGCTCAAGGTTTGTAAACACACCAATCAGCACCCTGTGTCTAGCTCAGGGTTTGCGAACACACCAATCGACCCTCTGTATCTAGCTAATCTAGTGGGGACATGGAGAACTTTTGTGTCTAGCTCAGGAATTGTAAATGCACCAATCAGCACCCTGTGTCTAGCTCAGGGTTTGTGGATGCACCAATCAGCACTCTGAGCCTAGCTAATCTGGTGGGGACTTGGAGAATCTTTATGTCTAGCTAAGGGATTGTGAATGCACCAATTGGCACTCTATATCTAGCTCAAGGTTTGTAAACACACCAATCAGCACCCTGTGTCTAGCTCAAGGTTTGCAAATGCACCAATCTATACTCTGTATCTAGCTAATCTAGTGGGGAGGTGGAGAACTTTTGTGTCTAGCTCAGGGATTGTAAACACACCAATCAGCACCCTGTCAAAATGGACCAATCAGCTCTCTGTAAAACAGACCAATCGGCTCTCTGTAAAATGGACCAATCAGCAGGATGTGGGTGGGCCAGATAAGAGAATAAAAGCAGGCTGCCCGAACCAGCAGTGGTAACCTGCTCAGGTCCCCTTCCATGCTGTGGAAGCTTTGTTTTTTTGCACTTTGCAGTAAATCTTGCTGCTGCTCATTCTTTGGGTCCACACTGCCTTTATGAGCTGTAACACTCACCGTGAAGGTCTGCAGCATCACTCCTGAAACCTGTGAAACAACGAACCCCCCGGGGAGAAACGAACAACTCCAGACTCGCCGCCTGAAGAGCTGTAACTCTCACTTCGAAGGTCTGCAGCTTCGCTCCTGAGTCAGTGAAACCACGAACCCACCGGAAGGAAGAAACTCTGAACACATCCAAACATCAGAAGGAACAAACTCCGGACACGCAGCCTTTAAGAATTGTAACACTCACCGCGAGGGTCCGTGGCTTCATTCTTGAAGTCAGTGAGACGAAGAACCCACCAATTCCGGTAGGAGTAGGAAATCACATCACCTTCTTTTAATCAGTCTCAAATACCTGGCCCCTTGTGGAACCTGCAAGAGCCAGGTTTGGCGAATGCAATGATAAGCAATTGTCTAATCACTGCCTTGAAAAAGAGCAGAGCATTTGAGTATGCTGTCTCCTCCTCTCCCTCACTTCAGTTGGGCCCAACATGACAGTCTTAATGGAAGCTCGGGGGTCAAAGGCTGGTGGCTTACTTCACGTATATTGCAGCATTTCAGTACTGCTCTGCACGTGTGCTCCCCCGCCTGATGAGGTAAGTGTTAAACAGGGATGATCACAGCTTCAAGTAAGCAATGGGAATTGGATGTTTTATGTCCTCTGGCGCCATCTTCAGCAGAGAAATATATAGGTCACTTTTACTTGTCTGGTTTTGGTCTTGAAATATGTACTGAAACTTGTGAAGGAGCAGACCTATATTAGGATAGAGTAAAAGAGGGAAAGACAAAAACCTCTTGGGCTTTTCAGGAGACTTGGTTCATTCTCTGCTTTTCAAGCCATCTCATGGCCACATGCCTGCTTTGGAGGCTGACTCGGAGGCACAACCGGCCTCAGGGCGTTCCTCAGGGACCCTACCTTTCTTGCTCCCTGAAGAAATGTGCACATTGCTTGAATAAAAACAATCAAAGAACACTCAGTCAAGATCGTCTGCTGCAGTCTTCGTTGAGGGCTGGGGATGCTAAAAGTCAGATGATTCATGTGTACCCTGTCCATCCTAACTCACCTGCTCTTCTACTTCCGCAGCTTACTCCAGTGCCCACAGATACGACAGAGTGTCCCAAGTGCCCCTCACACTCTATTAGCTGCATCCTTAACCTCTTTTTGCCACACCATAAGCATTGGGTTTTGTTTGTTTTGAGATGGAGTCTTGCTCTGTTGCCAGGCTGGAGTGCAATGGCGTGATCTCAGCTCACTGCAATATCTGCGTCCAGGGTTCAAGCGATTCCCCTGCCTCAGCCTCCTGTATTAGCTGGGACTACAGGCGCACACCACCACGCGCAGCTAATTTTTTTGTATTTTAGTAGAGAAGGTTTCACGATGTTGGCCAGGATGGTCTCAATCTCCTGACCTCGTGATCTGCTCGCCTCGGCCTTCCAAAGTGCTGGGATTACAGGCATGAGCCACGGCGCCTGGCCAGCATTGGGGTATTTTATTGAAGATGGAAGCCATGAATGTTGAGAAAGCCTCAGCAGATGGGAACTTGCCAGAGGTGATCTCTAACATCAAGGAGACTCTGAAGATAGTGTCCAGGACACCAGTTAACATCACTATGGCAGGGGACTCTGGCAATGGGATGTCCACCTTCATCAGTGCCCTTCGAAACACAGGACATGAGGGTAAGGCCTCACCTCCTACTGAGCTGGTAAAAGCTACCCAAAGATGTGCCTCCTATTTCTCTTCCCACTTTTCAAATGTGGTGTTGTGGGACCTGCCTGGCACAGGGTCTGCCACCACAACCCTGGAGAACTACCTGATGGAAATGCAGTTCAACCGGTATGACTTCATCATGGTTGCATCTGCACAATTCAGCATGAATCATGTGATGCTTGCCAAAACCGCTGAGGACATGGGAAAGAAGTTCTACATTGTCTGGACCAAGCTAGACATGGACCTCAGCACAGGTGCCCTCCCAGAAGTGCAGCTACTGCAGATCAGAGAAAATGTCCTGGAAAATCTCCAGAAGGAGCGGGTATGTGAATACTAATTCCTGTCTTCATTAAACATTTTCCATCTCCTCCTATTGATTCCTTTTCTCCTTTATTTCACTGGACTCATTGAAACACACCTGGTGCAGAAGGGTATCTTACAATTTTCGGGGGCATGTAGAGAGTGTGGTTGTGTTGTTCTTTGAGATCTTTTGAGTGTTGGGGCCAAGATTCCCAGGCAAGGCTGCTTGCTTCGAAGGTCCTTTCCCTTCACGGAACTCTCCACCAGGTGCTAAAAATGATCAGTGTCTTAAAATGGATGCAAGATTATATCATCAGGGTCCTAGCACTCTCAAACTGAGTCATAATGAGGGTATTTTCAAAGGTGTGGACAGGGTGCAGGGAGACCACCAAGACAAAATGTTAACCCCACGGTATAACCTCAAGGCAAGTAATGGTCGGGAGGAGCCCTCTCCAGGTTCGAACAGGCAAGTAGAGAGGCAGGTTGCTTGAATCTCAAGATGGAGTTTATCAGTAATAATAAAGACTTCTGGGCTTAAAAACACACAACTGAGATCTACAACAAAACCTCTAAAACAGAAAAAATAGTAACCATGTTAAAGGGTTCTAAGTTCTTGTTTTATCCAGAGCATGAGTAAAAATGTTGATTAAGTTTAAACTATGGTTTGTAAGTAATGCCTAATATCTTATGGTTTATAAGGAATGCCTAATATCTTTAACTAACGAAGGAATATAAACTGTGCATATAACTTGCAAGTGACAAGAAAAACAATAGTGTAACAAAAATACACTCAATCCAAAGGAAGGCATCAGAAAAAATATAGCACAAAATAAAATGTTACATATAAACTGAAAATATCAATAATTATATTTAGTGTTATTGGACTAAATGTTTTAGTTAAAAGTAAAATGATCATCAGGCTGGATTTTAAAATTCTAACCATATATATGGGTGTAATTTTTCTTTTTCTCTCTTTTTTTTTTTTTTTTTTTTGAGATGGGTTCTTGCTCTGTCGCCAGGCTGGAGTACAGTGGTGCAACCTCAGCTCACTGCAACTTCCGCCTCCTGGGTTCAAGCGATTCTCTTGCCTCAGCCTCCCAAGTAGCTGAGACAACAGGTGCACACCACCACGCCCAGCTAATTTTTGTATTTTTAGTAGAGACCGGGTTTCACCATGTTGGCCAGGATGGTCTGAATTTCTTGACCTTGTGATCCGCCTGCCTTGGCCTTCCAAAGTGCTGGGATTACAGGCATGAGCCACCACACCTGGCCACCACATATATTTTATAAGTGACATGCTAGATAAGGATACAGAAACTATGCAAGAAAACCTACCCCTCAAGTCCCAAGTCAAATAAAGCAATTGTAAGCCAAATATATAGTAAATAATGTTTCAGAGAGATGCCTGTATAGATGGTAAAAGCATTCATTAAAAAACCAAAAATACACCCAGTAGCCAGGCTGGTTTTAAACTCTAGCTTTTGGAGGGGAACAAGAGAGTTTTCTGTGCTGCTGAAGGGTCCTATTTCTTTTCCTTTCTTTCATTCATTTTTTAAAAAATGTCTGCTTTATTGAGATGCTAGTCACATACGTAATTTAAAAAAATATGTATGGCAGTAAAAGATGTGTGCTTATAATTTAAACAGTACATAATTATGCACTATTATGTAAGTTCTATTTCCTAATAATAAGAAATTGTTAAAAATTTCTTCAAAGGAGGTCTTCATATACTGATATAGAACAATTACCAACATGTTAAAGAAAAAATAGGTTGTTAGACATTATTTAAGAAATGCTTCCATGTCTGTAACATAGAGAAATAGCTTGTGCATACTTGCTCATGTATATATACAATAGTTCTGCAAGGATATTATGGTCATTTCTAAGGGGTAAGGGGTGAATAAATATGGAGTGGGAAGACATATTATTATGTACCCCCCTTTTTTGAGACAGGGTCTTGCTATCTTGCCTAGGCTGGAGTGCAGTGGTGCCATTATTAGCTTACTTGAGCCTCGAACTCATGGTATCTTCCTGCCTCAGCCTCCTGAGTAGCTAGGACCACAAGCACATACTTATTATGCCTGGCTGATTTTTAAATTTTTTTGTAGAGACAAGGTCTCACTATGTTGCCAGACTGGTCTTGATTATTCTGGTTTCCACCCCCTGTAGTGAGAGCGAGCCATGAGTTTTCCCTGCCTGGCTGTGCCTGATGTCAGCTCCCAGGCCCAGGAGGACTGCGAGGCAAAGACGGATGAAGGATTCTTGTACAGAGATATCTGAGTATTACTCAGCTGGCACACATTAGCTTTCTATTTTAATGAGCATTTTCAAATTTGAAAAACAAAATTCATCTCTACTTTTAACTGAAATGTGTTTGGAAATGTTAGTTTTGGTTTCAGTGAAGCCATGCAGGTAAGAAAAACCATCTTACTTGGACTGGAAAAGAAGGATAGATCAAATTTCAGGGCAAGAATTGACATGATAGTTGGGCAGGAACAAAGAGATAAAGGGAAGCCTGTGCTTTTGGTTGTACTCCCTACATATGGCCCTGGAACAGCAACCTGGTGATCTGATTACCATAAGCAGCACCCTCCTACCGTTGGTCTTGAAGGGAAGATGGAGCAGGTGAAGAGTCAGATAATGGCAGAGAATGCTGTAGGGTGTTGCATGCACTCCATCTTCCTCCCCCTTATCTGTCGTAGACATGATTGGTATGGCTGGTAAAGAATCATAGACCCAAGTGCATCAAATGTTCGCAATTTAGCATAAATAAGAGCATCAGGGGGACCTCATCAGGACAGGGATTCTTTTGATCATCCATGGTCCCCTAATGCACGACGGCAGGCCAGGTGTGGGGCAAACATTCAACTTTATAATAGACAAAATTTTTGTATATGATTGAATTTTTTGTTTTGTTCCTTTGAGAAGATGATATATAAAACTCAAATTTGGAGATTTGAATATAAAGGGCCATTGAATCATTTGTATATTTCTGAATCTTGCTTGATTCAATCCCTTGCCACTCCCAGCACTGCACTTCATCCGTGTCTTCACAAAAGGGAAAGAACTAGCAACAGCTTCATTACTCTTCCCTCCTTGTAACCACTGATGGTATTTACAAGCAGGAAGATTACCCAAGAAGTTCTCATCTAACAATGTTTTTAGTAGGCTTTTTGCATTGCTTATTGTAGATGAATCTGGAATTTGTGAAGTACAGGGCACAACTTGGAGAGCTAAAGTTAGTCATGTAGGTTTCCTACCTGTGCAACTAATGGAATGTAAAAAGCTCTAAACTTAAATGGCCTCCTAGGGCTAACATGTATGGCATGTACATGATACATACAGTAACATTAATCTCCTACTCAGGCACAAAGTACATTCCAGTGCAAAAATATATGTTTTTGGAAGTACATCTGATCTTTTGGGCCTTTTCAAAGATGGATATTGCTGTTTCTCTGCTTGCTTTTTGCTCATGTTCTTCATCAATTAGTAAAATTTGGTATTAAGTAAGCTGTATAATTTTCATAAATCTGCTTTGACAGTTTGACCTCCGTGGTAGCGTAATGACTAAATCAGAACTGTGCCATTCAATCAGCTTTTGGTGTACTTCTGACATTACTATAAATTCTTAGACTCAGCTTCTCATTATTATCTTATATTCTTATGTTTTAAAAACCTTAGTTCTTAAAGATTTCTTATTCTTATCTTTTCCTGCTACATTTGATTCCTTAGAGCAATCATTTGTTCTGATTAAACTATTAACGGAATTATTTTTTCTACCTAAGTTGCACAGGGGATGGACATTATTTCCATCTGGCTCACCTTATTCAAAATACTAAAACTATAATCAAAGCCCATTTTAGATAATCATCTCTTAATTGAGCTGTTTGTCCACTTCTTATTTCATGAAATTAGGAAATTGTTCACACATTCTCATTAAGAGCAGTGATGCCAGTGATGCAGTGTGGTATAAGGATGAAAGCTGGTACCCAGAGCATGGGATAAGCTAGAGAGAACTCTAAGGACATAATTTAAAGCCATATTCTGCAGAGAATGGAAAAGGCCAATTCTCCATTGAGGCTTCAGTTCTGGAAACTAATCTCAACAAGAATGTACCCTTTTTCATTCTCAACTCTAGGAACAAGCAGAAGAATCAAACAACTATTTCTATTTCGGGTTAGTTTGTCTATAATAATATCTCATTTCCTGGAGAAGTGTTTTAAGAGTGCATATTGTTGAATTTCTAATAGAAGAGAAAATAATATTGAGTTTCTTTACTGTATTTTTAGGCAACATTCTCAAATGAATTATGGTAATCTTTGCTCATATCTTTTGTTATTTTATTTTTTCTGCTATCTTTGGGTTTAGATCATTATTCTTCTAGTGCCTTAAAACATAAAGTTGTATTGTTGAACTGAAATCTTTTATCCTTTTAAAATGTAAGTATTTAAAGCTATAATTTTCCCTCTTCATACTGCTTTTACAGCGTCCCATTAGTTTTTGCAAATTGTGTTTTCATTTGTCCTAAGGTTTTTTCTAATTTTTCTTATTTAACCCATTGGTTGTTTAAAAGTGTGTTGTTTAATGTCCACATATTTGTGAATTTTCCAGTTTTTCTTCTGATATTTTCAGTTTTATTGCATAGTAATTGGGAAAGACACTGCATAATTTCAATCTTTTAAAATTTATTAACACTTGTTTTGTGGCCTAATGTATGGTCTCTCCTGAAGAATGTTACATATTCACTTAAGAAAAAAACCATATATTCTAATGGAATCTTGTTGGGTGAAGTGTTCTGCATGTGTCCAATTGGTCTGCAGAATTGTTCAAGACTGGTGGTTCTATCCAGCATTGAGAGAGGGGTATTGATATTTCCTACTATTACTGTAGACCTGTCTATTTGTTCTCTCCAATTTTATCAATGCTTGGTTAATATATTTTGGAGATACGATGTTTGGTACATATGTTTATAATTATTATATCTTAGAACTGATTCTTTTACTTACATGTAGTATCTTGCTTTGTCTCTTGTAACAGTTTTTAATTTAAATTTAACCTAGAGTCTATTTTGTCTGATATTAGTATAGCCACCCCTGCTCTCTTTCAGTTCCTGTTTGCATGGAATATCTCTTTCCACCCTTCCACTTTCACTTTCAAACTATGGTATCCTGAGATCTATAGTGAATCCGTAAAGTATCTATAAAAACAACATATAATTGTATCACATCTCCCCAACCCCATTCTACCAATATCTGCTTTTTGATTGGACAGAAACATCCATTTACATTTAAAGCAATTACTGATAAAGTGGAACTTCTGCCATTTTGATGTTTTCTCTTTGTCTTATAGCTTTTTTTCTCTCATTTCCTCAATTACTACTTTCCTTTGTTTTTAGTTCATTTTTTATAGTGACACATTTTGATTACCTTTTTATTTCCTTTTGTGTACATTTTGTGGATATTTTCTTTGTGGTTACCATGGAGGTTACATGTGACAGTACAAAGTTATAACAATCTATTTTGAATTAATACCAACTTGACTTCAATTGCACCCAACACTTTGCTTTTTTACAACTTTCCCTTCCTGCTTTGTTATGTTATTTCTGTCAAAAATCAATCTTTATATATGTTGTGTACCTATTAACATGGATTTATAATTATTTTTGTGAATTTGCCTTTTAAATTCTTTAAAAAATAAAGTGTAGTTACAAGCCAAAATTATATAAAACTATTAGTTTTTATAATGTCCATGTATTTGCCTTTACCGGAGATCTTTATATTTTCCTATGTGTTCAAGTTACTGTCTATTGTCATTTTATTTCAACTTTGAAGGGCTGTCTTAACACTGATTATAGTGGAGGACTAGTAGTAATGTAGCCTCTTAGCTTGTTTACCTGGGGGTGCATTTATTTTTGCCTAATTTTAACAGGACAGTTTTGCTAAATACAGAATTCTCAGTTGACAAGTATTTTTCTTTTTCTTTTAGCACCTTAAATATATCATCTCTGTGCCTTCTGGCCTGCAACCTTTCTGCTGAGAAACTTACTGAAAATCTTATTGAGAATAGCTTGTATATGATGAGTCTGTTTTCGCTTGCTGCTTTTAAGATTCTATTAGTCTTTTAACAGTTTGATTACAATTTGTCCACTATGGGTCTTTTTGGCTTTATCTTGTGGTTCATACAGCTTCTTTGTATGTCTTTCCTCAAACTTGGGAAGCTTTTGGCTATTACTTTTTCAAAAAAATTATCTGCCCCTTTCTTCTCTTTCTCAAAGTCCCATAATGTTTTAAATGAGTAAAAACACAATAATTTTGAATATGACTTTTTCTTAATGGGAATTTACTTGGTTGCTCTTTTTTTCTGACTGTTTTTCAGAGTTTCTATAAAGTTATTTAAACCATCCATAGTATTTTTTTCTATGAATGAACAAAGGTTTGGAGGTTCTTAGCTTACCATTTTGCTGATATCCCTCAGTACTATGAACACAAGTAGGACCAAGACTCATAGCCTGGCTGCTAGCCAGCATTGCTTTGAGTTACACTTTTCAAAATTCTCCTACTTGGTGTAGCTCCTAGTATATCTTTGTTGATGAGGTAAATGAAATTCAACATGCAGAGTAATTTTTCTCAAACTTAGATTTATTTTCTAATTAAAAATAAATGTAATAATTGGCAGCTTAAAAATAAATGGAAGCACAGTGAAATTTTCTCATTTTTTTCTTTATCCTTAAGGAAGAGTTTGTTTTATTCATTATAATTTTGTGATGACTTAGTAAGTAGTTGAATTTTATTAAAATCAATGAAATGATTAATTTTTCTGTTGGCCACCAGAGAAGTGACTGAAACGGTTTCTCTTGCTGACTTAGATATTTAGTAGGCATATGGGAAGTGATCAGATTAGGAAGAATGTAAACTTATCAAAAAAGTGACAAGGAGGAATGGTAAGGTAGCCTTGAGGTCAGCGTACTAGGTCTGATTTTCCAACATGGTAGATTCTTTAAGGCACCTTCATCTTTTCACCACCTGTAGTTTGAGTTCACTTAGGAATGACATAGGGGCTCTTTCTTCAGGTTTTATTGACCTGAGTAACCTGGTTACCAGAGTGGAGCAGATAAAATGAGAAACAGTGAAATATAAACCACTAGTATGTTCACTGCAGCAAAAGAAAAATAAACTAGCCAAATGTGAAATAAGACTATTAGGAAGAAGGCAAAAACACAGAAACAATATGTTTTGTAAAAGGGGAAAATTTGATATCAATTAATTTAGACTTTCTGAAGCATTCTCTTAAAGAACAGTTTCTCCAGATGTTAATTAGGAGACACTCAATTTTTAAAAGTTAAAACATGTTTTAACTTCAAAACTCAAGAGATTTTAAAATTATAACAATAAATTATAAATCTCTAACAGCATTGACTATCATGGGGGAATATTTCAGAAAATAGTATTTTAAAAGTATGTATATATATGTCCAAATTTTATAAGTTAAATATGTGATTTAAAAAATAAAATGTATCAAGGCTGGGGGTGGCGGCTCATACCTGTAATCCCAGCACTTTGAGAGGCCAAGGCAGGTGGATCATGAGGTCAGAAGATCAAGACAATCCTAGCCAACATGGTGAAACTCTGTCTCTACTAAAAGTACAAAAATTAGCCAGGCATGGTGGTGTGCACCTGTGGTCCCAGCTATTCAGGAGGCTGAGGCAGGAGGATTGCTTGAACCTGGGAGGCAGAGGCTGCAGTGAGCTGAGATCGCACCACTGCACTCCAGCCTGGGCAACAGAGCGAGACGTTGTCTCAAAAATAAATAAATAAATAAAAATTATAAAATAAAATAAAATGTATCAAAATTCTACTCTCTCTAAGGGTGATTTTTAAACATTCTATTTATATTTGTGTATCCTCTATGTTAACTGTGATGTTGGTAATATTTTTTTCAATATCTACCAATTGGGGTAGTGTTCCTTCCATGACTTCCATGCACCAACCTTTAAAATACTGCTGCAGTTTTTTTATTTTTCAGAGACAGGGTATTGCTATGTTTCCCAGACTGGTCTCAAACTCTTGGGCTCAAGCAATCCACCTGCCTCGGCCTCCCAAAGTGCTAGGATTACAGGTGTGAGCCACTGCATGGGGCCTGCTGCATTTTCTTAATCCCTCTTCCTCATCCATATACATACACCTGCTGTGGATCCATCCATTTTCTTTTTTTATTTTATTTTATTGTTATTTATTAATTATTAATTAATATTATTAATTAAATATTATTAAATAAATAAATATTTATTATTTATTATTTATTATTTTATTTTATTATACTTTAAGGTTTAGCGTACATGTGCACAATGTGCAGGTTTGTTACATATGTATACATGTGCCATGTTGGTGTGCTGCACCCATTAACTCGTCATTTAGCATTAGGTATATCTCCTAATGCTATCCCTCCCTCCTCCCCCAACCCCACAACAGTCCCCAGTGTGTGATGTTCCCCTTCCTGTGTCCATGTGTTCTCATTGTTCATTTCCCACCTATGAGTGAGAACATGTGGTGTTTGGTTTTTTGTCCTTGCGATAGTTTGCTGAGAATGATGGTTTCCAGTTTCATCCATGTCCCTACAAAGGACATGAACTCATCATTTTTTATGGCTGCATAGTATTCCATGTTGTATATGTGCCACATTTTCTTAATCCAGTCTATCATTGTTGGACATTTGGGTTGGTTCCAAGTCTTTGCTATTGTGAATAGTGCCGCAATAAACATACGTGTGCATGTGTCTTTATAGCATGATTTATATTCCTTTGGGTATATACCCAGTAATGGGATGGCTGGGTCAAATGGTATTTCTAGTTCTAGATCCTTGAGGAATCGCCACACTGACTTCCACAATGGTTGAACTAGTTTACAGTCCCACCAACAGTGTAAAAGTGTTCCTATTTCTCCACATCCTCTCCAGCACCTGTTGTTTCCTGACTTTTTAATGATCGCCATTCTAACTGGTGTGAGATGGTATCTCATTGTGGTTTTGATTTGCATTTCTCTGATGGCCAGTGATGGTGAGCATTTTTTCATGTGTGTTTTGGCTGCATAAATGTCTTCTTTTGAGAAGTGCCTGTTCATGTCCTTCACCCACTTTTTGATGGGGTTGTTTGTTTTTTTCTTGTAAATTTGTTTGAGTTGTAGATTCTGGATCTTAGCCCTTTGTCAGATGAGTAGGTTGCGAAAATTTTCTCCCATTTTGTAGGTTGCCTGTTCACTCTGATGGTAGTTTCTTTTGCTGTGCAGAAGCTCTTTAGTTTAATTAGATCCCATTTGTCAATTTTGGCTTTTGTTGCCATTGCTTTTGGTGTTTTAAACATGAAGTCCTTGCCCATGCCTATGTCCTGAATGGTATTGCCTAGGTTTTCTTCTAGGGTTTTTATGGTTTTAGGTCTAATGTTTAAGTCTTTAGTCCATCTTGAATTAATTTTTGTATAAGGTGTAAGGAAGGGATCCAGTTTCAGCTTTCTACATATGGCTAGCCAGTTTTCCCAGCACCATTTATTAAATAGGGAATCCTTTCCCCATTGCTTGTTTTTGTCAGGTTTGTCAAAGATCAGATAGTTGTAGATATGCGGCATTATTTCTGAGGGCTCTGTTCTGTTCCATTGGTCTATATCTCTGTTTTGGTACCAGTACCATGCTGTTTTGGTTACTGTAGCCTTGTAGTATAGTTTGAAGTCAGGTAGTGCGATGCCTCCAGCTTTGTTCTTTTGGCTTAGGATTGACTTGGTGATGTGGGCTCTTTTTTGGTTCCATATGAACTTTAAAGTAGTTTTTTCCAATTCTGCGAAGAAAGTCATTGGTAGCTTGATGGGGATGGCATTGAATCTATCAATTACCTTGGGCAGTATGGCCATTTTCACGATATTGATTCTTCCTACCCATAAGCATGGAATGTTCTTCCATTTGTTTGTATCCTCTTTTATTTCCTTGAGCAGTGGTTTGTAGTTCTCCTTGAAGAGGTCCTTCACATCCCTTGTAAGTTGGATTCCTAGGTATTTTATTCTCTTTGAAGCAATTGTGAATGGGAGTTCACTCATGATTTGGCTCTCTGTTTGTCTGTTATTGGTGTATAAGAATGCTTGTAATTTTTGTACATTGATTTTGTATCCTGAGACTTTGCTGAAGTTGCTTATCAGCTTGAGGAGATTTTGGGCTGAGATGATGGGGTTTTCTAGATATACAATCATGCCATCTGCAAACAGGGATAATTTGACTTCCTCTTTTCCTAATTGGATACCCTTTATTTCCTTCTCCTGCCTGACTGCCCTGGCCAGAACTTCCAACACTATGTTGAATAGGAGTGGTGAGAGAGGGCATCCCTGTCTTGTGCCCATTTTCAATGGGAATGCTTCCAGTTTTTGCCCATTCAGTATGATATTGGTTGTGGATTTGTCATAGGTAGCTGTTATTATTTTGAGATACGTCCCATCAATACCTAATTTATTGAGAGTTTTTAGCATGAAGCGTTGTTGAATTTTGTCAAGGGCCTTTTCTGCATCTATTGAGATAATGATGTGGTTTTTGTCTTTGGTTCTGTTTATATGCTGGGTTACATTTATTGATTTGTGTATGTTGAACCAGCCTTGCATCCCAGGGATGAAGCCCACTTGATCATGGTGGATAAGCTTTTTGATGTGCTGCTGGATTCGGTGTGCCAGTATTTTATTGAGGATTTTTGCATCGATGTTCATCAAGGATATTGGTCTAAAATTCTCTTTTTTGGCTGTGTCTCTGCCAGGCTTTGGTATCAGGATGATGCTGGCCTCATAAAATGAGTTAGGGAGGATTCCCTCTTTTTCTATTGGTTGGAATAGTTTCAGAAGGAATGGTACCAGCTCCTCTTTGTACCTCTGGTAGAATTTGGCTGTGAATCCATCTGGTCCTGGACTTTTTTTGGTTGGTAAGCTATTGATTATTGCCTCAATTTCAGAGCCTGTTATTGGTCTATTCAGAGATTCAACTTCTTCCTGGTTTAGTCTTGGGAGGATGTATGTGTCCAGGAATTTATCCATTTCTTCTAGATTTTCTAGTTTATTTGCATAGAGGTGTTTATAGTATTCTCTGATGGTAGTTTGTATTTCTGTGGGATCGGTGGTGATATCCCCTTTATCATTTTTTATTGCATCTATTTGATTCTTCTCTCTTTTCTTCTTTATTAGTCTTGCTAGCGGTCTATCAATTTTGTTGATCTTTTCAAAAAAATGGATCCATCCATTTTCAACTACTGACTTGATTGTACAGGATGACAACTAAGAAATGGGTGAGGTCATCTTAACAGTCACCTAGGGGAGGATAGCTTGACCCTGGCACCTCTCACTGGGAGAAGCTTTATAGATTTCATTGCCCAATATGGCTAAATAATGCACTACTCCCTAAAATAGATTTCATTGCTCAATATAGCTAAATAATGCATGACTACCAAATATTTTGGAATACTAACAGGAGAAAATTGTGATGCAATGTCACAATTTAAACGTAAATTTATACAATGGCAATTTAACGTCTCCTATAACATTTTTGTACCTTATAAAGTTCATACAAGAAACACAAAGTGCCTTTATGATACAGTGTAAAACACCTGTTTATGCATTTCATTACTGGATCCTCCATTACAAGGAAAATTAATGCTCAAATTGTTTTATGAATAAGTGGTTTATCAAAAGCCTCATATAAAAATAGTCTGTTAAATTGGATAATCTTTGAGTTTCAGTTCTCTTTCTAAACCTGTGGGTGTTTTCTTGGCACTGATGCAACAGTGTTCAAAACTGGACATTCTGAACTTTTGGGGGAATCCTAAATCCTAATAACTCCAATATACTTGATTGCAATGCCCATGTGTACGCTGTTATTTTGTAATAGTTTACTAAGAAACTTTACTTCCTGAGCAACCACAGTCCCTGTCCTGGAGCTCATGCCAAAGAGTTAATAATTATGCAGGCACCACAGGAACAAGGTCCAAGATGGACAGACTGGCCAGCCTTCCACCCAGATCCCTGTGCTGCTCCCCAGGCTGTGGCCACTGTTTGCCACCACTATTGCTTCTGCTGCTGCCTTGGGACCTCCCAACTTAGTGCCTCTGCATCACACAGACACAGCTACTAGGCTGATTGCTCGGGGTCTGTGCTACCTGCCTTGCTCACTGGACTTTTTATGTTAACTTAGTTCTCCCTCTCTGTATCTCCTGTGAACTAATTGTGAGATCTAGGAAACTGATTTTTTTTTCAGAGTATATTACATGATGGTATTGTATAGTTTAAATTTTGTCTTATCATGTGCACTCTAATGTCTGTCAAGATTTTAAGATTGCTCAGTGGATGGTATCAGACACCCATAACTGAATGGCTTCAATCAGTAACAAGTATTTATTGCTGTTCATGAGTCTGTGATTTAGTTGGCCTCACCTAGGTAGTTCTCTATGTGGTGGGAGCTATAACCTCAGTCACCTGAAGGCTCCAGTGGTTTGAAATATCCAAGATGGCTCACTGGAGGTTCAACTGATTTGGAATGTGTACGATGGTGGCAGTTGGTCCTTGCTATAGGCTGGGATTTTACATGGGGCTGTCATTTAGAGCCCTTTTGTACTCCCTCATGTAGCCTCTCCAAGTGGCTCTCTCAGAGTTCCTTCAAAGTATCGTAGTTTCAGGACAATCATACCTCTTCTTTGGGGGCTGGATCCTAGGAGTGCAAAATTAGAAGCTATCAGGTCTTTTTAAGGCTTAGGACAGGAAGTAGCACAAAATTACTTCACAGCATTCTACATTCAAACAAGTCACAGGGCAGGGTCAGATTCAAGAGGAGGGGACTAAATGAGGGGAACACCAGAGGGAGTTGTTCATTAGTATCATCAATGTAAGAGATTACCACCAGCTTTCACTTTTTTTCTCTTTCCAAATGGGCATGTTTGTTCTTGTTATCCTGTCTCTGTTCATTGGATGTTGGGAGTGGAGGGAGATAACTTGCGATTTTTAGTCGCAGGTCTCTAGATTAAGTAATAGTCCATCTGAAACTTATGTACAAATAATGATGACATTCAGGACTTTGAGTCTTAGGCCAAGATGATGGAAATTTTGGATGCATCCTTTAAGGAGGGGGTGAGGATGTTTTGCATGCTAAAGGAAAGAAATGAATATTTGCAAATATCCAGAAAAGTGGACTGTGCAGATTGAATTATTTGAAAAAAATATTTCATATTATTTCCTACCAGAACCCTCAAATATGGATTATTAACTATTGCTGCATAAAACTACCACAAACTAGAGACTTAATAAAATACATGTTTATTATCTTACAGATTATGTGGATGAGAAGCCCAGGTACAATTGGGCTGAGTCTTTTGATTCAATGTCTCTCATGGGCTATGATGAAGTTCCCAGCCAGGGGTGTGGTCTCATCTGAATGTTCAAGTGGAAAAGGATCTGCTTCCAAGCTCACTCACATTATTGGCAGAATTCATTTTTTCAAGAGTTTTTTCCTTGTTGGTTGTGAGTTGAAGCCACCCTCAGTTCCTTGCCATGTGGCACTTATTTTCCATAGTGTAGCTCTCAACATAACAGAATATGTCATCAAAATTAGCAAGGAAGAGGAAGTCCTAGTAAGACACAGGATATAATCTTACGTAATGTAGTCACAGAGTGACACCCCATCACCTTTGCTATAGTCTGTTGGTTAGAAGCAGGCCACAGTTCCTGTCCACATTCAAGGAGATTGTACAAGGGGTGAATATCAAAGGAGGGAATAATTGGGAACTGTTTTAGAGTCTGTCTGCCACACCAGCCTCCTCATTGAGAGACAATTAAACTGTTTACATCATACATTTCAGACCTGACCATATGACTTATTTCAGCCAATGGATTGTGGGGGAAGTGATATGTGCTGCTTTTAAGAAGATTTAAGAATTGCCATCTGATCTGCCACCTTCTCTTTTATTCTCTCCCCAAGCAAGTTCTTAGATATTCATCAGCCTAAATTTTTGAGCTGACCTACTCTAGGTATGTAAAAGAGGTAATAAATTAAGTCTATTGACTGTCACTGAGATTATAGGAAGGTTTTTAACTGCAGTATAATTTATCTAAAGTTGACTGGCCCTGCTAAACTAAGAGATACAAGAAGCATCCTGGGGCTAGCAACATTGGAGAGCAATGACAGCCCTAGACCAGGAGGGACCTGGGAAGTTAGATCTTGCAAAGAGGGATGTAAGGAATGAACACACCAGCCTCACTTTCCGTCTGGCACTACTGCTGCCCATTGGCAGGGAGGAGAAGAAGGCTAAAAAAAAGACCTTAGAAAATGCTAACCTTTCAGGGGCAGAAGAAGAAAGAAAGAAGAATTTATGGGGGAGTTGAGAAGAAATAACAGGAAAAGAAAAACAAAACAGTAGAGACATGGAATGGAATGATAATAAAATGAAGAAGTGGCCACACTGAGAGATTCTTCTTAGGGTTGCACTAATTTAGGGTTTGTGTCTGTCAAATTTAGAAAACAGAATTTCATATGTGCTTTAGAAAGAGAGACATCTGTGAAACTGGCGCAGAACAGAGCACAGGAATATAATGGTATGACTAGTGAATATGAAGTAAAGCTGCAGAAAAAAGTTTTAGACCACTGTTTAAAGAAGCTTGCTTCTGAAGAAGAGTAAAAAGGAAATATCTAAAAGAAGGGAGCTCAAAAAGGTGCTTGTTTTAATGAATAACAGTGTTGAAATTTTTGCAAGTTCAGTGGAAATGTTCTATTCGAGGCTGATGATATTGGAGAAAAAATAGATTTGTATATAAAATAAGTCCATAACAATATGGGATAAAATATAATGATTACCTCTGGATAATTTTGGGACAGTAAATCCCAATTTCAAGGCTCCTGATAGATGTAAATATATGAGGTTATAATTTTTTAACATCTGTATAACTAAGAATTTTAAATGAACAATTATAATTCTTCATAATACATAAATGCATCAGTTTGGAATTTACAAAGACATTCTCATTCATATTTAATATTCCCAACAGGGTATGGGGTTAGTGTTCTGGTCCCCATTTTGCAATGCAAGAAATAAGATCCAGAAACTTCATAACTGCAGAAGCTACACCTGAACCGATAATTTCATTCCCAAGTATAGTGCTATATAGCCTAACCTTTTATCATTTTCTAAATGTTCTTGACATGTAATCAGTAAGCAGGCACTGCTTTGGGGAAGCTAGTTTTGAAAGGGTCTTCCTGTTTAAGAGAAATAGGATTTGAGGGAGAGATCTGGAGGCACTTACCAAGCAGCCTGTCAAAGGCCTCATGATCCTCAGGTTGTAACTTCACCATTATCTTGAGCCATAGGTAAAGCCATAGGTAACAGCCAGGACCTGGTTTTTCTTAGCCCCTGGCTGTACTTCCTGCACAAATACTACTATGCAATTTCTCTTGGAGCCCTAAATTTCAGGCACAGAGCTGGAATCTATCCAGGGTCCCAAGAAAACAAAAGGGCTACAGGACAAAATCTTACCTGGGAGGAACTAGTTGTTGATCACTCTAGCCCTGCCAAACCAGTCCCTTCTGCTCTGGCCAGCCAGACGCTTGACCTTCTTTTCCATCTTTTACCTTTGTTTATGCATTTTTTCACTATTTGCTTTGCTATTACTATATTTCTCATGATTCATTTCCTTATTAAAATTAATTTTTCCCATCGTAGAAAAAGGAATCCTTACTTCCCAAGTTTTTCTTCTATGTAGATTTCCTTCTCCCCAGCTCTTGTTCCTCTTGTTCCCAAAGCCCTGGATTTCACATTGCTCCTCTCTTCCACATTAAACATTACTTCCTAACAGCTGTATGTCTTCGTCATTACTAGTCAACCCTTTCAAATCTCTTTACAATTCAATCCTCTCACCTGCAGGTCCTGTGCTTTCTTCCTTCACTATCATGTCTGAGGCACACCCTGGAATGGTAGGCTGTGGGCTCTGCTTTACAGAATGGCAAATGGCAGACAATGAGCCATGATGTCCTGTCAGCCTATTTTTCTCCTATC
This sequence comes from Homo sapiens, assembly GCF_000001405.40. Classification (NCBI taxonomy): domain Eukaryota; kingdom Metazoa; phylum Chordata; class Mammalia; order Primates; family Hominidae; genus Homo; species Homo sapiens. Next base: position 150,864,680 of record NC_000005.10, read on the forward strand.
ACAAGGTTGGGTCTGCCCACAGATTTTCCCCCGTCTGTCCAAACTCCTATTCTGTACATTGGCTTTGACCAATCCTGGCAAGAATGTAAGCCACTATTGTAAATGCAATTTCAATGGGTGTTTGTTGGAGGCAGCACGTTAGTGCTGTGCAATGGCCATAAAGACCATGGGACAGGGAAACAGAGTCAGGGAGATAAAAATGTAGCTGGATGACTGATTATTGCTCTTGACGATGGGCGTGTCCTGATGCTTCATGAAAACCCCAGGACCAGAGTTATAAGGAGAAGGTGAAATAAAACTTCACAGACCATTTCCCATCTCTCCCATCTCTCTGTTTGTCTCTTTCTCTTCTTGCTGGTGAGAGGATGTGTGATGCATACCATCTACCACATACCCATGTAGAGTAACATTAGAACATAAATTAGAAAGGGAATAAATGGAGTTAAATTTTTCTAAATATTTACTTCTGACCAGTAAGCGTTAACATTATTGACATATATTAGAATACAAACACATATACAAGCACAAAAGGATTAGTGGAGGAGGAATGCATAACTCACAAGCTAAGAGAAAGGAAAAGGAAAAATAGAATATTAAAGAATATTCAGCCAATTCAAAAGTATATTAGAAAAAGAACTAAAACAGGCAGGAGAAATGGACAATAATTTGGAAGATGTTACATATAAACTCAAATATATCAAAATTTCATTAAATGTTAATAGACTAAATATTATGTAAAAGGCAAAGATTAGTAGAGTGAGTTTTTAAAAACTATATGCTTATAGCAGATATAGATTTTAAATATTAGGTTACAGAAATCTTGAAACAGAAAGGATGAAAATACATATACATTATTCAAACACTATTCAAAAGAAAGATGTTATTGCCCTACTTACACTGGCTAAAATAGACTTCATTGGGGAAAACTTACTAGCAATGAAGAGGAAAAATTCACCAGGACTGTATAATATCAGCAACCAACAAATATTAACAGGCTTGTTCTTTATGGGAAAACACGCCTCTCCACATTTCTAAACTAAGGGTGTATAAGAAGGAAAATATTCTTCATTATCAGAAAAGATGACTTTTTTTTTTGAGACGGAGTCTTACTCTGTTGCCCAGGCTGGAGTGCAGTGGCACAATCTTGGCTCACTGCAGACTCTGCCTCCTGGGTTCCAGCGATTCTCTTGCCTCAGCCTCCTGGGTAGCTGGGACCACAGGCACGCACCACCATGCCCGGCTAATTTTTGTATTTTTGGTAGAGATGGGGTTTCAGCATGTTGGCCAGGCTGGTCTTAAACTCCTGACCTCAAGTGATCCACCCGCCTTGGCCTCCCAAAGTGCTAGGATTAGAGGCGTTTGCCACTGCGCTCAGCCAAGGATGTCTTTTTAACTTCAAGAAATTACATTGTTAACTCCCTGTACAGTCTGCTCCCAGGTTCTATTGTTCCGTGATTCTGAGTTTCCACGGTTTTGTGAGCCATTGATTCCAATCTAAGGCAGCCCAGATTCTGATAAGTCATTTCCAGTATCCTGGCTAGGAATTCCTGTGGCAGGTATTTTGGCTGTACTGACATGAGCCATGGCAAAGGAAAGAATGATGCCTGCCAACGGCAAGTAGCTCACCTGAGGGTGTGGGAGTGACCACATTTAGGGAGAAGAGAAAGAAGAAAAACTGCTTCCTCCATGGCACTGGCATACTCTAATTCCAGATGGAATTAAAACAGCCTTTGGGACATTTTTTTGAGAAGGCTGGAAAGTTCACCCACTGCTTGACTTGGAAACCAATGCAGTGACAGATGCCATTATGGACAGATGAGATGATCTGAAATTTTGAAGATGGTACAACCCATTGTCTTTTTGGTAATGTTACATAAAGAAACTTCTGACAAAAATCAATAAAAAGGAGAGTATAAGTTTGAAGATGTGAAAATTCTGCAGGAGGAAAAAAAGTGAAAATATCCCATGTACAGATATTAAAACAAGATATTGTAACCCCACCAGCTCTTATTCCCAAATAATTCCATTGCTTTATAACTGTAACTGATAATATGAATAACCTTTAGCACATTCATTTACCGTTTTCCAAGAGATGAGTATCTTAGGGGGAACACTGAAATAGTCTTCAAAAATGTGAAGTAGATTGAACCTTTCATATTCTGATTACCCACTAAAATAATTTTCATTTCTGATGACAACATTTTTACTTTTTGATCTATTTGCAAGTGATTTTTTTTGCTTATTTGTTTTATTGACATAACACATAGTGAAGTGCAGAAACTTCAGTGTACTCATTTCAGTCACTAATATTTCACTTTGAAATAACACATCTTTTTCTCTCTTTTTTAAATTTCAGTAGGTTTTTGGGGAACAGGTGGTGTTTGGTTACATGGATAAATTCCTTAGTGGTGATTTCTGAAATTTTGTGCACTCATCACCCGCACAGTGTACACTGTACCCAATGTGTAGTCATCTTCCCCCTGAGTCACCAAGTCCATTTTATCATCTTTATGCCTTTGTGTCCTCATAGCTTCACTGCCACTTATAAGTGAGAACATACGATATTTGGTTTTCCATTCCTGAGTTACTTCACTTAGAATAATGGTCTCCAACTCCATCCAGGTTGTGGCAAATACTGTTATTTCATTCCTTTTTATGGCTGAGTAGTATTCCATGGTATATATATACACCACCCATTGATTGATGGGCATTTGGGCTGGTTCTATATTTTTGAGATTGTGAATTTTGCTGCTATAAACATGCATCTGCAAGTGTCTTTTTTGTATAATGACTCCTTTTCCACTGGGGACATATTCAGTAGTAGGTTTATTGGATCAAATGGTAGATCTACTTTTAGTTCTTTAAGAAATATCCATACTGTTTTCCATAGTGGTTGTACTAGTTTACATTCTTACCAGCAGTGTGAAAGTGTTCTGTTTTCACAACATCCATGCCAACATCTATTTTTTTTTTAATTTTTAAATTATAGTCATCCTTGCAGGAGTAAGATAGTATTGCATTGTGGTTTTGATTTGCATTTCCCGATAATTAGTGATGTTGAGCATTTTTTAATGTTTCTTGGCCATTTGTATATCTTCTTTTGAGAATTGTCTGTTCACGTCCTTAGCCCACGTATTGATGGGATTATTTGTTTTTTTTTTTTCTTGCTGATTTCTTTTAGTTCCTTGTAGATTCTGGACATTAGTCCTCTGTTGAATGCATAGTTTGCAAAAGATTTTCTTCCACTCTGTGGGTTGTCTGTATACTCTGCTGATTATTTCTTTTGCTGTGCAGAAAGTTTTTAGTTTAATTATTTATCTTGGCTTTTGTTGCATTTGCTTTTGGGTTCTTGGTCATGAAGTCTTTGCCTAAGCCAATGTTTAGAAAGGTTTTTCTAATATCTTCTAGAATTTTTATGTTTTCAGGTCTTAGACTTAAGTCTTTGATCCATCTTGAGTTGATTTTTATATAAGATGAGAGATAAGTATCCAGTTTCATTCTTCTACATGTGACTTGCCAATTATCCCAGCATCATTTGTTGAATACAGTGTCATTTCCCTATTTTATGTTTTTGTTTGCTTTGTTGAAGATCAGTTTGCTGTAAGTATTTGGGTTTATTTCTGGGTTCTCTATTCTATTTCATTGGTCTATGTGCCTATTTTTATACCAGTGCCATGCTGTTTTAATGACTGTAGCCTTATAGTATAATTAGAAGTCAGGTAATGTGATGCCTCCAAATTTGTTCTTTTTGCTTAGTATTGCTTTGGCTGTGCAGGCTCTTGTTTTGTTCCATGTAAATTTTAGGATTGTTTTTTCTAGTTCTGTGAAGAATGATGATGGTATTTTGATGGGAATTGCATTTAATTTGCAGATTGCTTTTGGCAGTAAGGTCATTTTCACAATATTGATTCCAGCCATTCATGAGTATGCAAAGTGTTTCCATTTGTTTGTGTCACCTATGATTTCTTTCACCAGTGTTTTGAAGTTTTTCTTGTAGAGGTATTTCACCTCCTTGGTTAGGTATATTCCTAAGTGGGTTTTGTTGTTGTTTTTGTTTTGCAGCTATTATAAAAGCAGTTACATTCTTGATTTGATTATCAGCTTGGTCACTGTTGGTGTGTAGCTGTGCTACTGATTTGTGTACATTAATTTTACATTAAATTCTGAAACTTCACTGAATTCATTTATCAGATCTAGGAGCTTTTTGGATAAGTCTTTATGGTTCTCTGGGTATACAATTCACCAGTAAACAGTGACAGTTTGACTTTCTCTTTACCGATTTGGATGCCCTTTGTTCCCTTCTCTTTTCTGATTGCTCTGGCCAGGACTTCCAGTACTATGTTTAATAGAAGTGGTGATAGTGGGCATTCTTGTCTTGTTCCAGTTCTCAGGGGGAATTCTTTCAACTTTTCCCCATTCAATATAATGTTGGCTGTGGGTTTCTCATAGATGGCTTTTATTACCTTAAGGTATGTCCTTTCTATGCTGATTTTGTTAAGGGTTTTATTCATAAAGGGATGCTGGATTTTGTCAAATGTTTTTTCTCTGTTGAGATGATCGTGTGAATTTGTTTTTAATTCTGTTTATGTGGTGTATCACATTTATTGACTTGCATATATTAAACTATCCCTGTGTCCCTGGTATGAAACCCATTTGATCATGGTGGATTATCTTTTTGATATGCTGTTGGATTCAGTTAGCTAGTATTTTGTTGAGGATTTTTGTATCTATGTTCATCGGGGATATTGATCTGTAGTTTTCCTTTTTGATATTGTCCTTTCCTGGCTTTGGTATTAGGGTGATACTAACTTCATAGAATGATTTAGAGAGGATTCTCTCTTTCCCTATCTTTTGGAATAGTTTCAATAGGACTGGCACCAATTCTTCTTTGAATATCTGAAAGAATTTAACTGTGAATCCATCTGGTCCTGGACTTTTTTGTTGGCAATTTTAAAATTACCATTTCAATCTTGCTGCTTGTTATGGGTTTGTTCAGGGTTTCTATTTCTTCCTGGTTTAATCTGTGAGGGTTGTATGTTAATAACTTCTCTTTTTATTTTTTACTCAGCTCATGAGGCACCCACTTATCAAGCTTTTTCACCTTTCCAATTTGCTTCAAATGCCAAACGACCACAGAAGGGTCAACATTGAGTTCTTTGGCAACTTTTCGTATAGTTGTAAGAGGATCAGCTTTGATTATTGCTCTCAATTTGTCTCATGTTGCTCTCAATATGGTGAAGATATTTGCAAATTCCCCCTGTGTATTATACTTCTTTAAGAGGGATTTAAAAAATAACAGGAATTACTAAAGATTCCAAAAGACCTCCAAAGCCTGTGGACATGGAGGATCCAAGCCTATATCTCCAAGGAGGAAAGAAAAATAATGCTAATATCTGGGGTACAGATGAGAATAAAGGGAAATTTGCAGTAAGATGTATACTTACATTGGTGCAAAAGTAATTGCAGTTTCAGACCGTGAATTTTAAATTATTATAACTAGGCTCAAACACATCTTTATTAATCAAAATAGGAACCATTACAGACAACACATAGGTGCACATCCCTAACCTCGGCAAAATAAACTTTCTAAATTAACTGAGACCTGTCTCAGATTTTGGGGGTTTACATTTTGGTAACTACAAAGGGATTCTGGGTGGAGATGCCCTTGATTTTTGACAAAGCTCATATCAGTGCTTGGTACCAGCTTGAGCTATCTTTATGGGTCAAACCAGTAAGACAATTTGCTGAGGCCTGGAAGCACACCCTCCAGAGAATCCTTAATCTCCCCAAATTTAATCAAGATCTAAATTTTATTTTGCTATACAACTCCTTTTTTTTTTTTTTTTTTGGAGTTTTACTTGCTTTCAGCACAAGGAAGGCAAGCTCTTCCTGCTTTCAAGATGATGGACAGCAGTTGACTCCTTTATGGAATTTCAGCTTGCTTCCAATAGGGAATATGAGATTTTTTTCCTGGTCCTAGGATGGTAGAGAGAAGTCTTCAGCCTGAGACCCATTCCTAGGTAGGTAACTAAGTTGGGGTTTGTCTTGGCTAAAGTTAAAATTAACAGCCATCTGGTCTTAATTTCTCCTTACCATTAGAGCACTCAGTAATCATATAAGTTACGCGATCATTTGTTTTGCTTAACTGTTTTTTTGTTGTTGTTATTGTTGTTTGTTTCTGTTTTTGTTGTTTTGATTTGTTTCCCATTGGGTTTGACCAACTCTATCCGTCTTGATCGAATCTGAAGGAAAGCTCCAAATTATGAGGAATGAGGTCTCTGAAATGGCTAAATTCCCACCAAAAAAAAAAAGTGGTATGGTGGGAGGAGAAAAACGGCCAGAAAAAGGAAAACAAAAAAGGAAAGATTTCTGATTTTGACTACTTAAGGGGCTTTATTTACATACAAGGCAACCCTTTTGCTAGCCAGGTGAAACTGAAAGCAATGGCTGTCACCCCATGCTACAGTTTGATAGCTAAGGTTCTGCCTTTTTTCCACCATGACAGCCTGGATTTTGGTTCCTAAATCAAGTTCTTTCTGGTTTGATACTTGGTACTTCTGAAATAGTGGCAATCTGCCCTAGCTGAAATATGGTAATGAGATTTAAAAAGATTTTGTTTTAAGAGCTCAATGGTTAAAGTCAGCTTAATTAAAAGCTAACCTCCAAGATGTGTCTGTGTCTATGTGTGTTTGTATTTAAAAGGCCTTTATATTTGTTTTTTGTTTCCTTTCCTAGGACGTTGTCCTTTTTATTGAGCAAAAGTTTTTGTCTTCTCAGCTGATCAAACTCTGTTTTGTTCATTTACTTCTGCTGTCTCTCCTTTCTCTTGCACCCTCTGCTGCATGAGGGACCTAAAATAGTTTATAACAGCCTGGGTGGGGTTCCTTAAAGAAAACAGAGAAGGCCCCAGACTCCCTTTGGGGGATAAACCTGTTTTTCCTTATGGAAGCCCAAGAGTGTGAACAGATAAGTTCATCTCAGCTTTAAACTGCTTGCTTTTGTATTATGTTACCTGATTTACTGACTAAAATAGTTATTGAAACAGGTTACTCTTGGGTTTTTAAAGAAGAGTGTAGTGTAGACACTTAGAAATGTCTGTTTCAAACAAATTGTTTAAAGTGTACTGTAAAAACATCACATTGTCTAACCTCATAATAATTCTCCCGGTTTGGAAACCCAGGATTAAGTGTGGGCTCTGCCCGGAGCTCATTGATCCAGTTAAAAGATAGGTAGTCCCTACCTAAATACGATTGGTTTTCTCATACAATCCCATGATAGATTTTTGTAATTTTATGTTTGATTTGACATTCATTTTTAATCTCCCTCTAGCACACCAGACTTTTCTCTGTACCTTATGATGTAAAATTTGCTATTTGATTTTCACCTGAGTTATTTCCTTTAATATGCATATTTAATGCTATTTAGCTTACAACTACCTAGGGTTGTGAAACAGCTTATCAAGAATTTGAAAGTCTGACAGGAATAAAAAGGTTTTTGTGAATCTATAATATAGTTATTTCTATCAGCATTCCTGATGAAGCTGGGGACACTGAATTTGTAAATTCCGATGAGCCTTTTTTTGCCAGAAGAAACAACTTCCCCATCCCCAGTGGGGGCAACATCCCTCCCTGACCCACGCTGCCATCAGCTTTTCCACCTTTGTCTGAGAAGATAAAGCCTGTGCTGCCTGAGGCAACAGTGATGGCCTCCCCTGAGGCAGTTGTGAGGCAAGACAATGTTTATTCTCCTCAGGAACCACTCCCAACCTATAACTAGAAGCAGGCCCCTAGAGGTGAGGTTCATAGTGTGACCCACAAGGAGGTGTGCTACATTCCAAAAGAACTACTTGAGTTTTCTAATTTATATAAGCAGAAATCTGGAGAACAGGCAGGGGAATGGCTATTAAAGGTGTGGGATAATGTTGGAAGAAACATAGAGGTTGATCAGGCTGAATTTATTGATTAGGGCCCACTACACAGGGATTATGCATTTAATGTTGCAGCTCAGGAAGTTAAAAAGGTTCTAATTGTTGGTTTGCTTGGTTAGCTGAAATATGGGTTAAAAGATCGCCCACTGTGGGTGAGCTGGAAATGCCTAATCTCCCTTGGTGTAATGTACAGGGAGGGATCAAAAGGCTTAGGAAGATTGGGATGCTGGAGTGGATTAGTCACTTTAGACCTACTCATCCAAGCTGGGAGGGTCCAGAAGACATACCCTTCACTAATACTTTGCAAAACAGATTCGTGAGGGCAGCATCTGCATCCTTGAAGAGCTCTGTGATTGCTCTTCTCTGTATGCCAGATCTAACAGTGGGAACCGCAGTCACTCAACTACAAAATTTAAATGCAATGGGAATAATTGGATCCCGAGGTGGCACGAGCCAAGTGGCGGCACTCAACCATCAAAGGCAAGGTGGGCATAGCTACCATAATGGACAGCAGAGGCAAAGCAGCCATCAGAATAGTCTGACTCATGTAGAGCTCTGGCATTGGCTAATTAATCACAGTGTTCCTAAAAGTGAAATTGATAGGAAGCCCACTGCATTCTTACTTAATTTATATAAGCAGAAAACTTCCAGGCTGAGTGGACAAAAGACTAATTTGAATTATATAAACAGAATCACAGCCCCTCAATCAATTTCCAGACTTGAACCAGTTTACAGACCTAGAACCCCTTCAATGAAGAGGAGGCCAGGTCCCCTTGAGGAATGACCCCACTACACTACCAACAATTTATGCTGTTAATCTTTCTCCCATCCTTCCCCAAGGAGACCTCTGGCCTTTTACCAGGATAACTATGCACTGGGGAAAGGGAAATGATCAGACATTTTGAGGACTACTGGACACTGGCTCTGAGCTGACACTGATTTCAGGGACCTAAAACATCATTGTGGCCTTCCAGTAAAAGTAGAGGCTTATGGAGATCAGGTAATTAATGGAGTTTTAGCTTTTGTCTGACTTACAGTGGGTCCAGTGGGTCCCTGGACTCATCCTGTGGTCATTTCCCCAGTGCTGGAATGCATAATTGGCATAGACATACTTTGCATCTGGCAGAACCCCCACAGTGGCTCCCTGACTGGTAGGGTGAGGGCTATTATGGTGGGAAAGACCAAATGGAAGCCATTAGAGCTGCCTCTACCTAGAAAAATAGTAAATCAAAAACAATATCACATCCCTGGAGGGATTGTAGAGATTAGTGCCACCATCAAAAACTTGAAAGATGCAGGGTTGGTGATTCCCACTACATCCCAGTTCAACTCTCTTATTTGGCCTGTGAAGAGGACAGATGGATCTTGGAGAATGACAGTGGATTATCATAAGCTTAACCAAGTGGTGACTCTGATTGCAGCTACTGTACCAGAAATGGTTTCATTGCTTGAGCAAATTAACACATCTCTTGGTACCTGGTATGCAGCCATTGATTTGGCAAATGCCTTTTTCTCCATTCCTGTCCATAAGGCCCACCAGAAGCAATTTGCCTTCAGCTAGCAAGGCCAGCAATATCCTATCTTTGGGGTATATCAACTCTCCAGCTTTGTGTCATAATCTTGTTTGGAGAGATCTTGATCACTTTTCCCTTCCCCAAGATATCAAACTGGTCTGTTACATTGATGACATTATGCTGATTGGACCCAGTGAGCAAGAAATAGCAAACACGCTGGATTTGTTGGTGGGACATTTGTATGCCAGAGGATGGGAAATGAATCTGACTAAAATTCAGGGACCTTCTACCTCAGTAAAAGTTCTAGGAGTTCAGTGGTTGGGGCCTGTCGAGATATTCCTTCTAAGGTGAAGGATAAGTTCTGCATTTGGCCCCTTCTACAACAAGGAAAGAGGCATAACACCTAATGGGCCTATTTAGATTTTGAAGACAACATATTCCTCATTTGGGTGTGTTATTCTGGCTCATTTATTGAATGACCCAAAAGGCTGCCACTTTTGAGTGAGGTCCAGAACAGGAGAAGGCTCTGCAACAGGTCCAGGCTGCTGTGCAAGCTTTTCTGCCATTTGGGCCATATGACCCAGCAGATCCAATGGTGCTTGAGGCACAGTGGCAGACAGGAATGTTGTTGGGAGCCTTTGGCAGGCCCTCATAAGTGAATCACAATGGAGGCCTCTAGGATTGTGGAGCAAGGCTCTGCTATCTTTTTCAGATAACTACTCTCCTTTTGAGAGACAGCTCTTGGCCTGTCACTGGGTTTTGGTGGAAACTGAACATTTGACTATGGGTCATCAAGTTACCATGCAACCTGAACTGTCTATCATGAACTGGGTGCTTTCTGACCCATGTAGCCATAAAGTGGGGCACGCACAGCAGCATTCCATCATCAAATGGAAGTGGTGTATACGTAATTGGGCTTGAGCAGGTCTTGAAAGCACACGTAAGTTACATGAGGAAGTGGCTCAAATGCTTATGTACTCCACTCCTGCAACCCTGCCTTCTCTCCCTCAGCCTGCACTGTTGGTCTCATGGGGAGTTCTTTATGATCAGTTGACAGAGAAAGAGAAGACTAGTGCCTGGTTCACAGATGGTTCTGCATGACATGCAGGCACCACCCAAAAGTGGACAGCTGCAGCAATACAACCTCTTTCTAGGACATCCCTGAATGACAGTGGTGAAGGAAAATCTTCCCAGTGGGCAGAACTTTGAGCAGTGCACCTGGCTGTGCACTTTGCGTGGAAGGAAAAATGGCCAGACGTGAAATTATATACTGTAGCCAATGGTTTGGCTGGATGGTTAGTGACTTGCAAGAAATATGACTGGAAAATTAGTGACAAAGAAATTTGGGAAATAGGTATGTGGATGGACCTCTCTGAGTGGTCAAAAACTGTGACATTTGTATCCCATGTGATTGTTCACCAACGGGCCACCTCAGCAGAGGAGGATTTTAATAATCAAGTGGATAGGATGACTCATTCTGTGGACACCACTCAGCCTCTATCCCCAGCCACCCCTGTAATTGCCCAATGGGCCCATGAACAAAGTGGCCATGGTGGCAGGGATGGAAGTTACACATGAGCTCAGCAACATAGACTTCCACTCACCGAGGCTGACCTGGCTACGGCCACTGCTGAGTGCCCAATTTGCCAGCAGCAGAGACCAACACGGAGCCCTTGATATGGCACCATTCCTTGGGGTGATCAGCCAGCTAGTTGGTGGCAGGTTCATTATATTGGGCCTCTTCCATCATGGAAAGGACAGCAATTTGTCCTCACTGGAATAGACACTTACTCTGGATATGGGTTTGCCTATCCTGTGTACAATGCTTCTGCCAAGACTTCCACTCATGGACTCACAGAATGCCTTATCCACCATCCACCATCATGGTGTTCCACACAGCATTGCCTCTGACCACGGCACTCACTTTACGGCTAAAGAAGTGTGGCACTGTGCTCATACTCATGGAATTCACTGGTCTTACCATGTTCCCCATCATCCTGAAGCAGGTGGAATGCCCTTTTGAAGTCACACTTACAACACCAACTATGTGACAATACTTTGCAGGGCTGGGGCAAAGTTATCCAGAGGGCTGTGTATGCTCTGAATCAGCATCCAATATATGGTACTGTTTCTCCCATAGCCAGGATTCACAGGTCCAGAAATCAAGGGGTGGAAGTGGAAGTGGCACCACTCTCCATCACCTCTAATGACACACTAGCAAAATTTTTGTTTCCTGTTCCCATGACATTATATTCTGCTGGCCTAGAGGTCTCAGTTCCAGAGGGAGGAATGCTGCCAACAGGGGAAACAATAACGATTCAATTTAACTGGAAGTTAAGATTGCCACCTGGACACTTTTCCTACCTAAGTCAACAGGCTAAGAAGGGAGTTACAGTGTTGGTTGGGGTGATTTTCCCAGACTATCAAGATGAAATCAGTCTACTACACCACAGTGAAGCTAAGGAAGAGTATGTGTGGAATACAGGAGTTAGGGCATCTCTTAGTTTTACCATGCCCTGTGATGAGGGTCATTGGGAAACTGCAACAGCCCTATTCAGGCAGAACTGCAAATGGGTTCCAGACCCCTCAGGAATGAAGGTTTGGGTCACTCCACCAGGTAAAAAACCACGACCTGCTGAGGTGCTTGCTGAAGTCAAAGGGAATACAGAATGGGTAGTAGAATAAGGCAGTCATCGATGCCAGCTACGACCATGTGACCAGTTGCAGAAATGAGGACGATAATTGTCATGAGTATTTCCTCCTTATTTTGTTAAGAACATGTTTGTGCATTTATACACTTGTACTAAGAAAATATTTTATTTCCTTTTTTCTTCATCATATAAGATTTATTGACTTTATATTAGCATTTAAGCGTTGTTAATTTTATGTAATAGCATTTGGGTTGGGGATTGGTGCATTTCCAGTTGTACGAAGAATAGTTGCATTATGTTAGGTGTAATTATGACCTTATTATTGTCTTTGTTTGAAGATTATGTATGGTTTCAGGAGATGTATATGGGTTCAAGTTGACAAGGGGAGGACTTGTGATGGTTAATATTGCCAACTTGATTGGAGTGAAGGATGCAGAGTATTGTTCCTGGGTGTGTCTGTGACGGTGTTGTCAAAGGAGATTAACATTTGAGTCAGTGGACTGGGAAAGGCAGACCCACACTCAATCTGGGTGAGCACATTCTAATCAGCTGCCAGTGAGGCCAGTATTAAAGCAGGCAGAAGAACGTGGGAAGACTAGACTGGTTTAGTCTTCCGGCCTACATCTTTCCCTCATGCTGAATGCTTCCTGCCATCGAATATCAGACTTCAAGTTCTTCAGCTTTGGTATTCAGACTGGCTTCCTTGCTCCTTAGCTTGCACACGGCCTACTGTGGCACCTCACCTTGTGATTATGTGAGTCAATACTCCTTAATGAACTCCCCTTTATATATACATCTATTAGTTCTGTCCCTCTAGAGAACCCTAATGTAGTAGGTGTTATTATTATTCCCCTTTTAAAGATGAAGAAATCAAAACACAGAGAGGGTAAGTAGCCTGCCCAGGATCACATAGGTTTTAAGACAGTGACACCTGAGGATAGGTTGGGTACCATGCTTGCTAACCCTATAGGGCAGTGACTTCACTCTGCAACCTTATGAAGCCCTCTGAATAATTACCTCATTTTTATTTTTTATTATTCAGAATTTCACGGGTGACCTAAATAACCACTAGGTGTTTTAGTTTCCTAGTTTGCATTTTTGCATAACTTAAAGATTTCAGGTCATTGAATTTCATTTGCTTATACTTTTTTGTTTGCATGTTTAAATCAATTTTGCTTCTTGTACAAAGCAAGCCTTGTTTTCCTCAGAGCTCTAGAAACCAACAAGTGTACCCAAACCACAGCCACGTACCTCTTGCTTGCTGAAAGGATCCTGAGAGAAAAGCAAGACAAAGAAATACAGATCAGCTCCGCAAGCCCTAGAAATAGCAAGGCCCAGCTCAGGTGAGAAAAAAAAATCTTCACTGATTTTAGTAAGTTTAAAGTTTGGAAATAGTAAACTTTTTTTTTTGTTGTTGTTGTTGTTAATGCTTCCTAACTTTGTGAGGCTAGAGAGTACAAATAGTGATCCCAACTTCCTGACTCAGCTTCCTGATCTGTAAAATGGGAGTAATAATACTCTCTACCTCATGAGATTGTGGTGAAAGATATGCAAATCAATAGATGTGACATACTTAGGACAGGGCTCCATGTGTTTGTTGCCATTGCTATGAATTTTTACCACCATTATTGTCTTCAGGAATAAATGACTACCCTTCTTCTCTCTTCCTTCCTCTACCTCTTCCTTCCTCTCTTCCTCTCTTCCAGCTCCTCCTCCTCTCTCCTCATCTTCCCACCTTTTTTTGCCATATTACTTTCCACTTAAAATAAAAACATAGAAAGGGTTTACTTTTTGAGCTCATCACTATGAAATTTATTTAGAATTTATCTTTATCCATTTAGATATAGGTAATTTGTAGAATTGTAGTAAAACTGAAGGGTATTCCCAATTCTGAATACATCTGATTTGTGCATCCAAATATGTATATTTATTACTGTTATAAGGTCTATATAATTATTATTATTGTGTAATTATTATTATTGGAAAAGATAAATGTATAATTATTGTTGTTATATTATTATTATTTAAAATTTGTTATGAGAATAATTATTATTGTCTCTTAGGATTCTTTCAGTAAGAAAGAAATAAGTGGCTGCAATGTGGGTATACCTGTTGGTTTCCAGGGCTCTAAGGAAAACAAAGTTTACTTTTTACAAGAGGTATAATTGATTTAATGAAGCAAATGAAAAAATACTAGCAAAATTCAATGACTTGGAATCTTTAAATTATGCAAAAATACACACTAGGGGTTAAAACACCTAGTAATTACTTAGGTCACTCTTGACTCTTGAAATTCTAAAAACAACTGCATAAAAATGTTCATATCAGTAAGAAAAATCCAAAATGCTGATGGTAGCTGAGATGGATGTCAGTGTTAGATGCATAAGAAAAGGTAATGAGTAAAAAGGGAAAGGTAAATGAAGCTTCCAAGGATGTGCAGGTTATCCAAAAATTTAATTGCATGCCAGTGTTTATTTTTGTTAAACTGGCTTACTTGCTTCCATCAGAAGTAAGAAATGTAGATGAGGTCTGTATTACATAAATGTGCATTGAAACACCAGTGTCAATCAGAAAAATTAGAAAAATCTTTGTTTTCAGATTCTCTTTGCATTTATTGGTAATTTAAGCACTAAAGAATTATTCATGTGTTAAGAATATGTCATCATTAACCTCTTTGAATGAAAGCAATGTATTCATTCATCCATTTAAAAAGTAATGCTTGCCAAGTACTTAGTCTGGCCAGGCACTGTGCTGGCTAGGCACTGGGGGTATAACTTCCACAAGGCTCACATTCCCTACCCACTCTCTTGCAGCTGGCCTGCCATGAGAAATACCTCAAGAGTACTCCAGAGAATTCCACAAGGCCCAGAAATATGTAAGTATTTAGAAACTTTCTACAGTGAAAATACACAATGAACACTAAGGATAGAAGCAACAGCTAAGATCACTTTTTATAAAACATAGTGTGGGTCACAGCTCATTGTGATGGGGTAGGCCAAGGCATGAGATTCCAGAGAAAGAGCCCAAGGTAAAATTCAAGGGTACACTTACTTCTTAGGGTGGCTTCTTCAGCTGAGTACCAGATAAAAAGATAGCTTGTGTTGAAGCAGTATATTGTAAGACTAAGGTGTGTCTTAAACTCAAGAATTACCCTCAGAATGAAAAGCTGCTCATAAACGTGAGCAGCAGGCAAGACCTAAGACTAGTTGAGGGATCAGCAGGCTCTAGTCTCCCACTTTCTTCCCTATATAAGATGTGTGCTTGCTAGTGGATGGGCAAACTGGAGTCATCTGAACCATTAAAATTCCTGTCTTTGGATTTATAATTGAATATACATTAATTAAATAGTTTTGTATGACTTCACTGTCATTATTTGTATAATTGTTTATTTAAGCTTAGAACATTCAGTCAATTGTGGGAGATATGAACAGCTTTTTATCCATTTGAAAATGCCACATTGTTTTCTACATATTCCTAAAGTGAGGGTCCTCGGCATGTGTAGCAAGTGTCCTGTTTGTTGTTCCTTGTTTCGTTCATTTAAGTGTCTGTGGGTATATCTGCAAAAACTCATAAGGCACCTGAAAAATTGTAGAAATTTATGCTTAAACCGAAATTAAGAACCTGGGTTTATTTTAGTAAATCTTTCTCTCCAGTTTTCTAGAAACATCCTAAAGATATATATCCTTTATACAGACACTAACCTTCTCAGGAACCACACACTCCCACTGAGTGTTGCCTGTGATAGTTTGCCCTATGCAGAGGTCCATCTGTAAGTCCAACTTGCAGCCTCCTGTCCTCCTAGGTCATGTATCTAGGTCACATCACTCACCCAGGCCAGGAAAGCCCTCCCAATGGGAACCCGCTTTTAAGTTGTCCAGAGTATACCTTCTTGCTATCATATTCAACTGTATCACTCAACATGTTAAATAACTTTCACTTTTCATGTGGGAAAATGTTTCATATTTTCATAAAGAGTACCTCATGGAAGTTAATCATCACTGAAACAAAACAACTGTGCCTTTGCTTTGTGTTGTCCTTGATTTCAAACGTCTTCAGTTATTAAAAAATGGTTGGGCTGGGCACAGTGGCTCATGCCTGTAATCCCAGCACTTCGGGAGGCTGAGGTGGGCAGAACACCTGAGGTCAGGAGTTTGAGACCAGCCTGTCCAATGTGGTAAAACCCCGTCTCTACTAAAAATACAAAAATTAGCCTGGCGTGGTGGCACATGCCTGTAATCCCAGCTACTCAGGAGGCTGACGCAGGAGAATCGCTTGAACCTGGGAGGTGGAGGTTGCAGTGAGCCAAGATCATGCCATTGCACTCCAGCCTGGGTGACAAAAGCGAAACTCCATATCAAAAAAAAAAAAAATAGCTTCGATTTTTAAATATCCAAGTATGGGAAGGCCAAAGGTCTCCCCAGATTCAATTCAAACAAGATGACACCAAGATATAATCAAACTGTCAAAAGTTAAAGAGAATTTTGAAAGCAAGAGAAAAGAAGCATATAACAGATAAGGAGTTCCAATTACAGGCCAGGAAAGAGTGGGATGATATATTTAAAGTGCTGAACGTGAAAATTTGCCAAACAAGAATACTGTACCTGGCAAACTGTGCTTCAGAAACAAAGAAGAGATAATGGCTTTCCCAGACAAACAAAAGCTGAGGGAGTTTATCATCACCAGACCTGTGTTACAAAAAAATGCTAAAGAGAGTTATTCAAGCTAAAGGAAAAGGACACTAGTAACATAAAAACATATGAAAGTATAAAAAAACTGGTGAAAGTGAGAACACAATAGAATTCAAAATGCCCTAATACTATCATGGTGGTGTGTGAATCACCTATATCTTTAGTATAAAAGTTAAAAGATAAAATTATTAAAAATAATAATAGCAATATCATCACTGCAATAATTTAAGGACTACACAATACAAAAAGATGTAAACAGCAATATCAACAACAACATGTGGGAGAGGGGCAGTAAAAGATTAGAGTTTTTTAATGTGATCAAAGATAAGTTGCTATCCAGTTAAAATAGCATAATCGGTGTAAGATATTTTATATAAGCCTTAGGAAAACCACAAAGCAAAAACCTATATTACTAACACAAAAGATAAAAAGTAAGGAATCAGCGAGGCACAGTGGCTCACCCTGTAATCCCAACACTTTGGGAGGCCGTGGTGGCCTGGATCCCTTGAGCCCAGGAGTTATTGACTGCCTGAGAAACATAATGAAGCACTGTCTCTGCAAAAAATACAAAAATTACACAGGTGTGGTGGCACCCACCTGTAGTCCCAGCTACTCAGGAGGCTGAGGTGGGAGACTCACCTGAGTCTGGGAAGTTGAGGCTGCTGTGAGCCATGATCTCAGTCTGGGAAGTCGAGGCTGCAGTGAGCCATGATCATGACACTGAACTCCAGCTTGGGGGACAGAATGAGGCCCTGTCTCAAAAAAAAGAAAAAAAAAAGAAAAAGAATCAATGTATGCTGTAAAGAAAATCACCTAACCACTAAAAAAGATAGCAAGAGAGGAAGAAAGGAACAAAGAATCTACAGAACAACCAGAAAATAATAATAAAATGATAGTACTAACTTCTTACTTATCAATAATTATCTTGAATGTAAATAGATTAAATTCTTCAATCAAAAGAGAGAGTGAATAAATGATTTTTTTAAGTGACCCAACTGTATGCTGCTAAGAGAGACTCACTTCAACTTTATAACTGAAAGTCATATGGAAAGAAAGTGAAAGGATGAAAAAAGATAAACCATGTAAATAAAAACCAAGAGAGCAGGAGTGCCTATACTTATATCAGATAAAATAAACTTTAAGTCAAAACTTCAAAAAGAGACAAAATTGCTATGTAACCATCAGGGAATCAATTCATCAAGAAGATATAACAATTGTGAATACATACGCAACCAACATCTGAGCACTTAGATGAATGGAGCAAATATGAATAGATCTGAAGGAAGATATAGATTGCAATACAAAAATAGTAAAGGACTTCTCTACCGCAGCTTCAACAATGGACAGATTATCCAGACAGAAAATCAATAAGGAAACATCAGACTTAAACTACACTTTAGACCAAAGGGACCTAACAGACATATACAGAAAATTTCATCCAAAAGCAGCATAATATACATTCTTTTCAAGTGCACATAGAATATTCTCCAATATAGATCGTGTGTTCACAAAACAAGAAATAACAAATACAAAAGGATTAAAATTATTTCAATTATCTTTTCCAGCCAAAATGGTATGAAACTAGAAATCAATAACAGAAGGAATTTTGGGAATTTCTACATATTTCATGGAAATTAAACAGCATGCTAACAACCAATGGATCAATGAATAAATTTAAAGGAAAACTAAAAAATATCTTCAGACAAATTAAAGTGGAAACAAAATATATCAAAATATAAGAAATGCAGGAAAAGCAGTTCTTTTTCTAAATAATACTCTATTGCGCACTAATGAAAAAGCAGTTCTAAAAGAAAAGTTTATAGCAATAAATGCCTACACCACAGATAAAGATCTCAAAAAAACAACGTAGTGTTATACCTCAAGGAACTAAAAAGATAAGAAAAACTAAGCCTAGAGTAGTAGAAAGAAGGAAATAATAAAGATCAGAGCTGAAATAAATAAAATAGAAACAAGACAAACAATAGAAAGATCAAATAAACTACATTTGTTTCTTGAAAAGATAAACAAATTGACAAACCCTTAGCTAGACTAAGAAAAAAAGCAAGAAGACAAAATCAGAAATGAGTTGGAATACCTGAAATACATTACATTACAATTGAAATACAAAGGATTATGAGACTACTATGAACAATTATAGGCCATCAAATTTAATAACCCACCAGAAGTGAATAAATTCCTAGACACATACAACCTACCAAGACTGAAACATGCAGAAATATAAAATCTGAAAAGACCAATAATAAGTAAGGTGATGAAAGTAGTAAGAAAAAGTCTCCCACCAAAGAAAAGCCCAGGACCTGATGGCTTCATTACTAAATTCTACAAAGTATGTAAAGAAATAGTACCAATTCTTCTCAAACTCTTCAAAAAAAATTAAAGAAGAAGGAACACTTCCAAACTGATTTTATAGGGTCAGCGTTACTCTGAAACCAAATCCAGATAAAGACACTACAAGAAAAGAAAACTGTAAGCTAATATCCCTGATGAACATAGATGCAAAAATCCTCAACAAAATACCATGAAATCAAATGTAACAGTATATTAAATGGATCGCTCACCACAATCAAGTGGAGTTTATTCCAGGAATACAAAGATGGTTCAATATTCACAAATCTATAAATCTATAATGTGATATATCACATTAACGGAATGAAGGACAAAAGCCATATTATCATATCAATAGATTCAGAAAAAGCATTTGATAAAATTAAATATTTTTCATAAGGAAAAATATACTTTATACTTTATATTTATACTTTATACTTATATTTATACTTTTCTATGGCGGCATAGTATTCCATGGTGTATATGTACCACATTTTCTTTATCCAATCTGTCATTGCTGAGCATTTAGGTTGATTCCATGTCTTTGCTATTGTGAGTAGAGTTGCAGTGAATATTTGAATGCATATGTCTTCACAGTAGAATGATTTATATTCCTCTGGGTATATACCCAGTAATGGGATTGCTGATTTGAATGGTAGTTTTGCTTTTAGCTCTTTGAAGAATCACCATACTGCTTTCCACAATAGTTGAACTAATTTACACTTTCACCAACCGTGTATAAATGTTCTTTCTTCTCCACAACCTTGCCAGCATTTGTAATTTTTTGGCTTTTTAGTAATAGCCATTTTAACTGGTATGAGATGTTATCTCATTGTGGTTTTGATTTACACTTCTCTAATGATCAGTGATATTTAGCTTTTTAAAATATGATTGTTGGCCACATGTATGTCTTATTTTGAAGTGTCCATTCATGTCATTTGTCCACTTTTTAAATGGGGTTGTTTTTCTCTTGTAAATTTGTTTAAGTTCCTTATAGATGTTGGATATTAGACCTTTGTCAGACTCATAGTTTGCAAATATTTTCTCCACCCTGTAGGTTATCTATTTACTCTGTTGATGGTTTCTTTTGCTGTGCAGAAACTCTGTAGTTTAATTAGATCCCATTTGTCAACTGTCACGTTTGTCATGATTGCTTTTGGTGTTTTTGTCATTAAATCTTTGCCCATTCCTATATCCAGGATGGTATTGCCTAGGTTGTCTTCCAGAATGTTTATAGTTTTGGGTTTAACATTTCAGTCTTTAATCCATCTTGGTTAATTTTTGTATATGGTGTAAGAAAGGGGTTCAGCTTCAATCTTCTTTATATGGATAGCCAGTTTATTAACCCAGCACCATTTATTGAATAGGGAGTCTTTTTCCCATTGCTTTTGTCAGCTTTGTTGAAGATCAGATGGTCCCAGGTGTGCAGCCTTATTTTGGAGCTCTCTATCCTGTTCCATTGGTCTATGTGCCTGTTTTTGTACTAGTACCAAGCCATTTTGGTTACTGCAGCACTGTAGTATAGTTTGAAGTTGGGTAACATAATGCCTCCAGCTTTGTTCTTTTTGTGTAGGATTGCCTTGGCTACTTGAGATCTTTTTGTCTTCCATATGAATTTTAAAATTGATTTTTAAAAATAGTTCTCTGAAGAATATCCTTGGTAATTAGGTAGGAATAGCATTGAATCGGTTATTTGGTTTGGGAAGTACGCCCATTTTAATGATATTATTTTTATCCATGAGCATGGGATGTTTTTCCATTTGCTTGCATCTTCTCTGATTTCTTTGAGCATTGTTTTGTAATTCTTATTGTAGAGATCATTCACCTCTCCGGTTAGCTGTATTCTTAGGTATTTTATTATTTTTATGGCAATTGTGAAAGGGATTGCCTTCCTGATTTGGCTCTTGGCTTGGCTGTTGTTGGTGTATAGGAATGCTGCTGATTTTTGTAAACTGATTTTGCATCCTGAAACTTGCTAAAGTTGTTCATTAGCTAAAGAAGCTTTTGAGCTGAGACTATGGGGTTTTTTAGATATAGAACCGTGCTATCTGCAAACAGAGATCGTTTTACTTCTTCCCTTCCTCTTTGGATGCTCTTTATTTCTTTTACCTGATTGCTCTGGCTAGGGCTTCCAATATTATGTTGAAGAGTGGTGAGAGAGGGTATCCTGTCTTGTGCCAGTTTTCAAGGAAGATGTCTCCAGCTTTTGCCCATGCAGTATGATGTTGGCTGTTTGTCACAGATGGCTCTTAGTATTTTGAGGTATGTTTCTTCAATATCTATTTTATGGAGAGCTTTTAAGATGAAAGCATGTTGAATTTTATTGAAAGCATTTTCTTCATCTATTGAGATAATCATGTGGCTTTTGTCTTTAGTTCCGTTTATGTGATGAATCACATTTATTTATTTTCTTATGTTGAAGCAAACTCACATCCCAGGAATGAAGCCTACTTGATCGTGGTGTATTGCTTTTTGATGTGCTGCTGGATTTGGTTTGCAAATATTTTGTTGAGGATTTTTGCATCAATGTGTATCAATATTGGCCTAAAGTTTTCTTTTTTTGTTGTGTCCTTGCCAAGTTTTGGTATCAGAATTATGCTGTTTTTATAGAATGAATTGGGGAGGAGTCCCTCATCCTCAATTTTTTGGAATAGTTTCAGTAGGAATGGTACCAGCTTTTCATTGTACATACAGTAGAATTCACCTGTGAATCCATGAAGTCCTAGGCTTTTTTTGGTTGGTAGGCTACTTGTTACTGATTCAATTTCAGAGCTCATTATTGGTCTGTTCAGGAAATCAATTTTTTCCTGGTTCAATCTTGGGAGCATGTATACGTCTAGGAATTTACCCATCTCTTCTAGGATATTTTAGTTTGTGTGCATAGAGATGTTCAAAGTAGTTTCTGATGGTTATTCTTATTCCTATGGGGTTAGGGGTAACATTCTCCTCATCATTTCTAATTGTGTTTATTTTGATGTTTCCTCTTTTTTTCTTTATTAGTCTAGCTAGTGACCTATCTTTCTTTTCAATTTTTTCAAGAAAACCAACTACTGGATTTATTGACCTTTTGAATGATTTTTTTTGTGTCTTGATTTCCTTCAGTTCAGCTCTGATTTTGGTTATTTCTTGTCTTTTGATAGCTTTGGAGTGGATTTGTTCTTGCTTCTCTAATTTTTTCCATTGTGATGTTAGGTTGTTAATTTGAGATCTTTCTAATGTTTTGATGTGGGCATTTAGTGCTATGAATTCCCCTCTTAACACTGCACAAGAGTTCTGAATTAGGTTGAGCTGGCTGAAATGACAGAAATGCAATTCAGAATATGGACAGAAACAAAGATCATGAAGATTCAGGAGAACAACAAAACCCAATCCAAGACAACTAAGAATCAAAATAAAACAATACAGGAGTGGAAGGATGAAATAGCTGGTATAAAACAACTTAATGGATCTGACAGAGCTGAATAACACAATACAAGAATTTCACAATGCAATCACAAGTAATAACAACAGAATAGACCAAGTAGAGGAAAAAATCTCAGAACTTGAAGACTGGCTCTCTGAAATGAGACAATCAGACAACAATAAATAGGAAAGAATTAAAAGGAATGAACAAAACCTCCAAGAAGTATGGAGTTATGTAAAGTGTCTAAATCTATGAATCATTGGCATTCTTCAAAGGGAGGAAGCAAACAACTTGGAAAATGTATTTCAGGCTATCATCCATGAAAACTTCCCCAACCTTGCTAGTGAGGCCAACAATTAAATTCAGGAACTACAGAGAACTCCTGCAAGATTCTACAGAAGAAGATCATCACCAAGACCCATAATTGTCAGGTTTTTCAAGGTCAAAATGAAAAAAAAAAAAAAAAGACTGTTAAAGGCAGCTAGAGAGAAATGACAGGTCACCTGCAAAGAAAACTTCATCAGGCTAACAGTGGACCTCTCAGCTGAAACCTTACAAGCCAGGAAAGATTTAAACCTGCCTCACATGAGGTCTTGAAAGGAGTGCTAACTATAGAAAGGAAAGACTCCTACCAGCTAATACCAAAGCACTCTTAAATACAGAGACCAGTAACACTATAAACCAACCACACCAACAAGCCAGCATAATAACCAGCTAAGAGCACAATGACACACATCAACAATAACCTTGAATGTAAATGGGCTAAGTGCCTCCACTTAAAAGGCACTGAGTGGCCCGCTGGATAAAAAAGCAAGACCCAATGGTATGGTGTCTTCAAGAGCATATCACACATAATGACACCCATAGTCTCAAAAAAAAGGGATGGAGGGAAATTTACCAAGCAAATGAAAACCAGAAAAAAGCAGGGATTGCAATTCTGATTTCAGACAAGAAAAAACAAACAAACAAACGAAAAACAGACTTTAAACCAGCAAAGATTTAGAAAGACAAAGAAGGGCATTACATAATGGTAAAGGGTTCAATTCAACAAGAAGGTCTAACTATCCTAAATATAAATGCAGCCAACACAAAAAAAGCAAGTTCTTAGAGACCTACAAAGAGACACAGACTCCCACATAATAAAAGTGGGAGACTCTAACACTCCACTGATATTGTTAGATAGATCATTGAGGCAGAAAATTAACAAAGATATTTAGGACCCAAACTCAACATTGGACCAAATGGATCTGATAGAATGGATCTATAGAACTCTCCACCCAAAAATAACAGAATATACATTCTTCTCATTGCCACATGGTGCACACTCTAAAATTGGCCACATAATTTGACATAAAACAATCCTTGGCAAATGCAAAAGAACGAAAATTATACCAAACACACTCTCAGACCACAGAATAATAAAAATAGGAGTCAAGACTGAGAAAATCACTCAAAACCATGAAAATTAACATGGTTCTGAATGACTATGGGGTAAATAATGAAATTATGGCAGAAACCAAGAAGTTCTTTGAAACTAATGAAAACGAAGATACAACATACCAGAATCTCTGAGACACAGCTAAGGCAGTTCATTGAATTTTACACAAAAAATATTGGCTGATATTTTGATAGAGATTGTGTTAAATCTATGGACGAATTTGGGGAGAATTAATATCTTAACAACATTGAGCCTTCCAACCAATAAACTAGATCTATTTCTCTATTTTGGTCCTTCTAAATTTCTTTCAGCAATGTTCTATAATTGTCACATATTTTATTATGTCTATTCATGTTTCATATTTAAATGCTATTGCAAGTAGTATTGTTTTCAAATTTCAATTTCTGATTGTTTATTGTGGAGTTTTGTCTATTGACCTTGTATCCTAAGATCTTACTAATCTCAAATATTAGTTGTTAGTATTTTTTTTCAAGATTTAAAATTTTTTACATACATGACCGTATTAGTTCGTTTTCATGCTGCTGACAAAGACATACCCAAGACTCTGCTGTTTACAAAAGGAAGAGATTTAATGGACTCACAGTTCCACATGGCTGGGGAGGCCTCACAATCATGGCAGAAGGTGAAAAGCACATCTCACATGGTGCCAGACAAGAGAAGAGAACTTGTGCAGGGAAACTCCCCCTTTATAAAACCATCAAAGCTCATGAGACTTATTTACTATCACAAGAATAGCACAGGAATGACCTGCTCCCATAATTCAATTACCTCTCACCAGGTCCCTCCCACAACATGTGGGAATTGTGGGAGCTACAATTCACGATGAGATTTGGGTGGGGACACAGCCAAACCATATCAACTAGCATATCATCTGCAAATAGAGTTTTACTTCTTTTTTTCCAAACTGAATGCCATTTTTTGGCTATTGTACTGCCTTGGACCTCCAGTATATTGATCACTAGAAATGACAGAGAAGACATCCTTGCTTTGTTCTTTATTTTAAAAAAACACTCAGTCTTTCACTATATGATATTAACTGTAGGGTTTTCACTTCCTTTTTATCTATGAAGAAGTTCCTTTTTAGATGATTTTTGTCAAATACTTTTTTTCATCTTTTGAGATAATATGGTTTCCCTTTTTGTTTGCTAATGTGGTGACTTACATTGATTGATTTTCAAATGTTAATCTAACCTTGCATTTCTGAGAGAAAACCTACTTGGGTCTTGATGTATTATCCTTTTTATATAATGTGATATTATTGTTTAGACTTTTGCATCAATAGTTATGAGGGATATTGGTCTGTAGTTTTATTTTCTTATAATATCTTCTGGTTTTGTATCATGGTGATGCTGACCTAATATAATGAATTGGGAACTATCCCTTCCTCTTCAATTTTGTGGAAAAGCTTGTATAGAATTTGAATTGTTGCCTCTTTAAATATTGTTTGGTTTGAGACAGTTCACCAGTGAAGGTCTATGATCCTGAATTTGATAAGGTTTTACACTACAAGTTGAATTTTAAAAATTGATATAGGACTATTTATGTTAATATCTATTTCTTCTCGAGTAAGGTGTGGTAGTTTGTATCTTTCAAAGGATTTGTCCACTTCATCTGTTATCAAGTTTATTGGTATTAAGATGTTCATAATCTTCCCTTATTATTTTTTTGTATGTCTGTAAAGTCTGTAGTAATGTCACTTCTCTCATTTCTGATTTGAATAATTGTGTCCTCTCTTTTTTCCTGAGTCTGACATATCTATCTTCTCAAACAGTCAGCTTTTGATGTATTTTCTTTTTTTCTATTTAATTTATGCTTTGAACCAATCATTCTGCTGTTTATAATGCATTTCATTTTTTCCTACTCCTATCTTCTTAAGGTAGAAACTGATTCATTGAGACTTTTCTTCTTTTCTAATGCATTCCTTTAGCACTTTAAATTTCTCTTTAAGAACTACTTTACGGACATTTCACAAATGTTGATATAGTTGTGTTTTTATTTTCATTAAGTTCAAAATGCTTCATTTCCTTTTTGATTCATTCTTTGACTAATGGGTTATTTAGAAATGTGTTATTACTTTCCATATATTTGGTATTTTCCACATATTTTCATGTTATTTATTTCTAATGTAATTGATTTCTAATGAATTAAATTAGAATCACATGAGAATGAGTCACCTTACCTTTTAAATTTATTGCTCTGTCTTGGTAAATGCTTCACATGGACTTAAAAATGTGTATTGTACCATTTTGGGGTGGGATGTTCTACAAATGTCAACTAGGTCAAATTGGTTGATTTTGCTGTTCAAGTCTACCTACTATAACCTTACTAATTATCTTCTCATTCTCTCAATTAGTGAGAATGTATTGAAATTTCTAACTGTAATTGTGGATTTGTCTATTTTTCCTTTGAAGTTTTATCAGTTATTGCTTCATGTATGGTGAAGCTCTGCTATTAAGTGCATAAGTGTTTAGGATTATGTTCTCATGATAAACTGATTCCTTTATCACTATGAACTGGTCTTTTAAAAATCTCTTAGTTAGTATTTATCCTGAAATATATTTTATCTGATATTAACATAGGCCTTCCAGATTTCTTTTGTGTTATCATAGTATATCTTTTTTCCATTCTTTTACTTTGAATCCATTTATGTCTTTACATTTAAAGTGTGTTTCTTGTAGGCAGCATATAGTCTCTGCGTTTTTATCTAATATGACAATCTCTTCCCCTAATTGGTGTCTTTAGATCATTTATGTTTAATCTGAGTATATCATTAGATTAAGACTATCATTTTGTTTTCTATTTGTTCTGTTTTTTGTTCTTTTTCTACCTTGTTTTGGATTATTTGTTATGATTACTTCTCTTCTTTTTGGATTTAAGCTATAACTCTGTTTTGTTATTTTAGTGGTTTAGCATTTGTACTACACATTTTTAGCTTTTCCCAATCTACTGCCAAGTTATATTGTGCCACTTCATGTATAGTAAAAGAGACAATATGAACATGACCATGTTTTGCCAGCAGATGACCATGTAGCCATTCCAATGACAGGCACTGATTTTGGCCTATCTCTGGCAGCTGTAATTGTGTATGATATGGCACTTTTCAGGCAGCCACATCCATGAACACGCTGAGATTTTCCGTAGATGTGGAATTTCAAAGCAGTGTTAGACATTAAATCAAGCTTCCTGTTGGTCTTCTCAACAACAAAATCCAGGGCCAGGATCTTTTAATTTTTTGGCAAACTAGCAAAAAAAGAGTATCATCAACCAGAACACAACTCCCAAGGGACTAAATTTCTATACTTTCCAATCCTACAGGGTCAAAGCTCAGGGCATTCACTGAATATTTAGCATCAATCACATCCCCAATGTTCTGCAGATAAGAATCATCTTAACTCATTTAAAGATCCAACATGATTATCATAGGTCTGTATTCCCAATAAACTATCTCACTGTCAGGATGTATAAGTCATTTTTGAACACTAAAACATAAGGATTAAGATTAAATTTTTTATTAAATGGTGACATTAAGTGTTTTTATGGAGTTTTTTTTTTTCAATATTGAAGTTTGGCTAAATAATAGGAGCATCTGCATGCAAGCATCATGTATCATGAACCAATTCAGAAAACGGTGTGGAAGATTAACTGTGTTAATTACAGAAGGGAAAGGGAGGCAGGAGAGGCAGCATAACATAATTGTTAAGTGTGTAGACTCTAGAATCAGAATATCTGAGTTTTAATTAATCTCTCCAAATTATTTAGATATTTTGCAAAACCTGTTTATTAGGTCTAGTAAATATTTTGTGCAGTTTTGAGATCTTCTACATAGAAGGATATGTTGTCTACAAATAACAACACTTTTATCTCTTCCTTTCCAGGTTGCAAGCCCACTCCCTACTTTGCTTTTCTTATTGCACTGGCTAAATTCACCAGTGTAATGTTAACTAGAAAGAGTCAAGTAAATATTCTTGCCTTTTTCCAGCCATTAAATATGATGTTTACTGTAGGTTTTTTATCTATGCCCTTTAACTATTTGAGGAGGCTGCCCTTTATTCCCAGTTTACTTAAAGGTTTATTATTTTTTCAATCTACAATACATTTTTTTGAGACAGGGTCTCATTCTGTCACCCAGGCTGGAGTGCAGTGGTGCAATCACTGCAGCCTTGAGCTCCTGGGGTCAAGGTGTCCTCCCACCTTGTCCTCTTAAAGTATGGGGATTACGGACATGAGCCACAATTTTCTTGTTTTGTTGTTCCTATTTTGTGTGTTTTCCTATTTCTTCATCTTCTTTTATTTTTATCATGTCCTTTTTATTTTTTTGGAGTTAGATCACAGCGTTTTTTTATTCTAACCTATTGAGACTGTTGCTTAGGTATTTTCAGGCTTTCTTTTTGCCTGATCTATACTTACTGCTATACATTGTCCTCTATTATAGGTTTAGGCAGAGTAAATTTTGTGAATGGTATGCAGTAAATTTGTTTTTTCTTTGTTTTACCCATTTGGATAACTGAGCCAGAGGCATTACTGAAAAGGTGAGTTTCCTCCCATTGTTCTAGAATGCCAACTTTGTCATAATTCAAGTGTCTACAGGTAATTATCAGTTTTCAGATTCTCTTTTACCATTGATCTACATGATTACTCGTGTAACACCACATTGCCTTAATTACCACTGTTTTATAAGAAGTCTAATAAGTTATCCAAATTTGTTCTTCAAAAGTGTCTTAGCTACTCTTGCCTTGGGGCATTTCTGTATATCATTTTAGAACCAAATTATAAGATTTTTATAAAAAAGGTTGTTGAGGTGTTGATATAAGGTTCATTGACTACTGTGAAAAACTGATGTAATTTTGTTGAGGAGTGAAGAATATGACTAATCACACGTATTAGATACACTGTCAGGGCAACCATAGGATGCACAGATTAAAAAATATATAAAGAACAGACCATCAGAGTAAGCCTGATAAAAGAATTATGCAAAACAAGACATCAGAGTAAGCTCAATGTAACTATTGATGAAAACTAGGTATCTGCCATTTACCAACAGAGGGGAAGCTTAGTTCCACACAACTGTAGCTTCAGTTCCATATAAATAGAGCTAAAAATCCACTAGTTTTATAGCCATGTGCTAGCTACCCAAATGCTACATAGTATTTTTATTTCTGTTATTCAACAATAAAATTAGCAGATCCATTTTATGAATGGGTTTGCTCTTTTGGATTTCTCTTTTCCCACCCCAACAATATATAAATCACCTGGGATGTGGGGGGAGTGATATCTTTAACATTGAGTTCCCACATCCCTGTCCAGTGAATGGCATCTTTAATTCTCAGTTCCCACATCCCTGTCCAGTGTGCCCTCTACTCTACAGTTGTTCTCAACTAGAGGAGCCCCATGTTTTCACAACAGACAGTTTAGCCAAGCAGGAAGGGGATCAAGTGGATAGGAAATCAAGCAGGAAATATGTGCAGATGCTGTGTTTATCACACAGGTATTCTCATCCTTGCCAAGTATGCTCTCCTGCAGGTCACTTCCAGCAAGGGTGCTCATCTAAAAATGCTTATGGGGGAATGGATGGAATGACAGATAGTAGGTGTTATCTTAGAGGCCTCCAGTTCTCAAGGCTATACAGGCATTACTTCTCACACCAAGAGTTTTCCCCTGTAAGTTTTCAGGGCAAACAGTTGGGGCTTCAGGGAAAGGATCACAAAGAAGTGAAGAGACATTAGGCAGGGTCTTTATGTGCAATCACCACGGTTTATGTAAGTATATGAAAATAAATCCAAGTATTAAAAAACACAACCTTAACATAGCAAAAATAAGGCCACCAGGATCAGAAGACAGTAAAATGAGCCACTTATAGGGATAGGCAATCAAAAGCAGAGTGTCCAGAGGGAAAAGCAAGCTCAGACGTGGTTTTTACACATTAGTCTTAACATCTAATGCTTCAAGATAGAGAGTAAAGATTTAAAAAGTACTAATATTAACTGAAAATGAGCTCTGCATTGTATTTGTACTTACTGATAAAAAATACTCAGCTAGGAGAAGTATGTTTGCCTAAAGTCACACAATCTGTGAGGCACTGAGCCAGGATTAAACCCAAGGCCATCTGGCCTCAGTGCCAATGTTTTTCAGCTCCAAGTTCCCAGTTGGGAAGAGTAAAAGGGAGACCTGCTCAAAATGCATCAATCTCAAGGTCCTTCCAGAGATGCAGGTCAACTTATATGCTTGAGATGGGAAAATGCATACAGATCAACTTTACTGAATCTGATCAACCTATCATTCCATTTTTTGTACAAGAACTTTACATGTAGCTTTAGGGGTCATGCTCAAGCCCCTTCTTAAAATAGTGTATAGGTTTTATTTTATTGTTTACTTAAGCTTTCTTCCACGTCTTTTATAGAAAAATTAGTTTATGGCCATAATTATGACAAGCTAATATTAGCAGTTTCACAATGGCTGATTATCATTTTGTAGTATAAGGAATATGCAACTTGACAATATTCTGTATGCTTAACTTGCTGTGCTGATCACTGAGTTCATAACTTTAAAAGCTTTACATGCCATATTAAAAATGTTCTTCATTTATATAACTATTTTCCATCATCTTTGCTGGAAAAGTTAGGCATCACCAAACTAGAAACAAATTCCCTTAAAAATTTTTATCTATTGGGATGTTGTCCCCAAGCTTATCAAATTAATTGGGTTTCTAGTAATTATTAAGGCTTGAGCTAATACTAAGGCTTTTCTGTGGCCAGTTCATTATGATTTTACCACTGTGTGAATTCTCTGGTGTACAGTTAGTTGTGACTTCTGGATGAAGGCCTTCCCACATATAGCACATTGATAGGGTCTTTCCCCAGTATGAATCCTCTGATGTAAAACAAGGTCTGACTTCTGAGAAAAGGCCTTTCCACATTCAGCACATATGTAAGGTTTCTCTCCTGTATGAATTCGCTGGTGTCCCGGAAGGTGGGACTTCTGAGAGAAGGCTTTCCCACATTCAGTACATATATAAGGTTTTTCTCCTGTGTGAATTCTCTGATGTCCAATGAGATGTGACTTCTGGCAGAAGGCTTTGCCACATTCACTACATTTATAGGGTTTTTCTCCAGTATGTGTTCTCTGATGTATGATGAGCTGTGACTTGCGGGAGAATGTCTTTCCACATTCAGTACATTCATAAGGTTTTTCCCCAGTATGAACTAACTGATGTGTAATGAGTTCTGTCTTCCTGCTGAAGGCTTCCTCACATTGAGCACATTTGTAGGGTTTCTCACCAGTGTGAATTCTTTTATGTATAATGAGGTGGGACTTCTCACAGAAGGCTTTCCCACATTCGGTACACTCATACGGCTTCTCTCCAGTATGAGCTCTGTGGTGTATAATCAGCTGTGACTTCTGGGAAAAGGCCTTCCCACACTCTCTACATTCATAGGGTTTTTCCCCAGTATGTATTCTCTGATGTATAATGAGGGGTGATTTCTGGGAGAAGGCTTTCCCGCATTCACTACATTCATAGGGTTTTTCCCCAGTGTGAACTCTCTGATGTATAATAAGGGACGATTTCTGAGAGAAGGCTTTTCCACATTCAGAACAATCATAAGGTTTCTCCCCAGTATGAGTTCTCTGATGTACAACAAGATGAAACTTCTCACTGAAGGCTTTTCCGCATGCACCACAATCATATGGTTTCTTTCCAGTATGAATTCTTTGATGTACAATGAGTTGTGACTTCTTAGCAAAGGCTTTTCCACATGTAACACATACACAGCTTTTCTCTTTAGTTTCCACATTCTGATATTGAATAAGGGATTGTGTATTTCTAAAAACGTTTCCACACTGATTATCATCAAAAGGTATTACTCCATTGTGAATCTTCTCAAGATTAGAATTGGGCTCACTCTGGCTAGATGATTTTCCACCTCCAAAACTCTGATCAGGTTTTTTTCTTGAATTGCTCTTATAACAACTCGGTAGGTCAATATTTGGTTTTAAGTTCTTTTTAAAAGCATCATATTTATGGAATCTCTGTATTGATATATCTGTTTCTATGCACTCTTGAAATATTTTCCCCAGTGGATTATATTTATGCCCTGATGCCTCAGTCACTGTTTTGCTGTTAACAAATGTGACCTGCCTGAAGAGTTTGTCTTGATTCTCTAGAAATCTCTGCAGCTGACCATCACCTTGACAGACTTTTAAAATGGAGCACAATGAACCATCCCTTGTGACTCCTTTCAGTATCTTATGATGGAAGGAAACTGTCCCCAAAATACATGACTGGGAGTTGTGAAGGTTACTCTTCCTGTCTAAAAGAAGAAAAGATACAATTTAAGAGTCATCACAAGAGTCAATTAAGAGGGTAAAGAAGTAGAACAAATGGATGATCCAACATAGTAGATGAACTCACAAAAAAAGGATGGAAACAGGTCATCTCAGAAGACAGTACAGCATATAGTGTTATCAGGTGAATAGACAGACAAGAATGTTAAACAGAAATATTCATGTAAAAACTAAACTTAAAAGAGATGAAAAAGTGGGGTCTCATCACTAATTTTTGATTATTCTTCTAGAATATTTCACTTCTGCTTTCTGAATAGAAACCCCTTTTCACCTTTTAATTTCATTTATATTATAAATCATGTGCTACACATTCTTATTATCCTACCATCACTCTAAAAAACAAGGTATCTTCTGTATGCAAAATACTTTAACTCTCCTCCATCTATTTTCCTAACAACTAACAAATAATAGAAAAATCCAATATCCTGCTACAGATTCAGTATCAGAGTCAAACTGAGAATACAGACGTAAATTCCACTACTCCCAATAAACTACTTTCTATACATGTCAAGTAAAACTAGTAAAGTTCTCCCAGAAAAGCTGTATCTTCCTGACCCTAAGGTTTTGTTCATATACTCTCTCTCCAACACTGCTTGCCTTCACCCTCCTCCTTCAGCCTCATCAGCATTTATGTCATTCAGAGCAGTTACAGTTGCATGCTCTGAAAAATGTTTCTCAAATACGCTCACATCTCTTTAGACTCTTAATTTTCTCTGAACTTCTAAAACAGTAACTGTATTTGACATTTAATTTAATACAGTCATTTATCTGGGAATATTGCCTTTTAAAGCACAGCTTGTGTTCTTGAAAGGAATTTGCCTTCTATTGCCTTTAAAACCCTTTCAGGAAAGACAACAAATATAAACATATATATATACACACAAGAGACAGGATCAACAACAAATAGAACTCCTCTGAAAGGCTTCACAATTACTTGTTGAGTGACTACTAAATTCTCAGCATAGAAGCAAAGAATAGGAGATTTTGATAAGGATAGAAACATAAACCTCAGGCACCAATCAATTAAAAAAACATAAATTGATATTTCACTTCCCTTGTCTCCCATCTGCCTGATATTCATCTGGATAGATCCAATTTGATATGTCTCCCTTTATGATCCATGGCTCTTCTCCTTGTTCCAACTTGGAGATGACATCTGGTTTGGAAACTGGATACCCTATTAAACAGAAATCACAGAGAATTGAGATTGACTGCACTGAAGGAAAAAGAGAAGGTGCAGTTTCAGATGGTCTACAATAAAGCTGTCCAGTTAGCCCTCAACAAAGGCATAACCTCCATTTGCAAAGGTATGAAGGTCATAAAAGTCATGACATATGTCAGGAACAATCTAATCACAGCAACTAGTAAGGAAAGGCACTTGATTGGACAACTCTGAGTTATTCAGGGAAGCCATCCTTACCCATTGAGACCAGGTGGCTGTAGTTCTCCAGCATCACATCCCTGTACAGGGTCCTCTGAGAAGGGTCAAGTTGCTGCCACTCCTCCTGGGTGAAATCCACAGCCACATCCTTGAATGATACTAACCCCTGTAATAGTAAATTCCTGTTCAATCTGAAATGATCATTCTCATAATTTCTGCTATAATGTGCACAACTACATCCACACCTAGTTTTGTATAATAGTTTTTGGGAAAAACAAAATAAAATCCTGTTTTTAGCAAGCAGAGCCAGGCATATGAGGAGAAAAAAAGAGGTAAACCATAAAATGCCTACCTAATACATATAGTAATTTCATACATTTTAAAGGCAGCATCCAAATAACTGGGAGGAAGATGGATTATTGGATGAATCGTTTTGAAACAATGAATAGTAAAGAGGAAAAGAATAATGCTGAAGAAATATTATGGGTTGAGTTGTATCTCCTGAATATTTATATGTTGAAGTCCTAACCCCCAGTACCTCAAAATGTGATATGACTTGGAAACAGGGTCATTGCAGATATACCTAGCCATATGAGGTATTTAGGGTGAAACTGAATCCAATATGATCTGTGTCCTCATCCAAAGGGGGAAATTTGAACACAAAGACATGCATAGAGGGAAGATAATGCAAAGAGAAAAAAGAAGATAGTTATAAAGAAGCCAAGGAGAGAGGCATGAAACAAATACATCCCTCACAGTCCTGAAGAACAACCTTGATTTTGGACTTCTAGCCTCCAGAACTATGAGACTAAATTTCTATTGTTTAAGCCACCCAGTTTGTGGTACTTTGTCACAGCAATCCTAGCAAACCAATACACTATATAATACCTGGGAAAAAGAATAGATTCTGATGGAATAAAAATTTAAACTCTAAAAAGTACTAAAGGCCATAAAAGTAACAAAATAAGACACAGGAGAATTTTAATTAATGATTATAGAGCAGAAATGCCCTTTGTAAGTACATTTTTTTTTAAAAAAAGAAAAGCTACATTTAGAGAATCATAGAATGTCAGAGCTCTAGAAGATCATTAATCTAATCTCTTTATTTCATAGGAAAATGATCTTAGCTTCCCCCAAATGTAATAGCTTTCTTATATACATACAATAGTTAGTAATAGAATGAATATACCAATTACAGTAGCAACAAAAAATAAGGAATCCCAAATGATAAACTCAACAAAAATGTACAGAAAACATTAATGAAGAAACCACAACAAATTAGTGACATAACATCAAAAATGAATTTGGGTAAGAGTAGAGTTATAAAATGTTTCTGGAGGGAACATTGACTATTTTAATTATGTCACCATTATCCTCACAATAGTTGTTAACTAATAGCAGAAACTAATCTAATAGTGATCTGTATTATTTTAAATAAATTGTTCAGACTTTTTCCCCAAATATTCCATAATTACCAAACACCACTTTCAGAATGAAAATGATTATTTCAAATGTCAACATTGCCTGCTTAAAAGCCTCCTTTGTTTTCTTCTTTGCTAACACAGTCTCATCTCAGTCATCTCAAATCTCAAGCTTTCTCTCATCCCACACCAATTCCATATTCACTCTGTCAAGCTGCCAAACAGTTAGTTGTCCATAACAATCCTGTTAATTTTCCTATTGTACATATAAGAAAACTGAGGATTACAGTGGTTAAGTAAATACTTGCCAAAGATGATTACATACTAAATATATGATTGATGAACTCTCTTATCTGCAAGATTTATTCTCAATAGTCTAGGTTCTTGACTACTGCAGTCCAAACTGCCTCCCTGATACTGTAAACATCATGATCTTTTATATTTTATCACTTCAATACCAACCTTAGTCGACCTTTCCATGAAGCACTCTCCATTTTAGTTTCAAAATTCTCAGCCTTCCTAAAATCACTCTGCCCTTTCTACTTTTACAAATGCTGCTTCCTGTCCTCAGCCTACTTCCCTCATGAGCCAAAGTTCAATAATCATTTAAGCCTATTACCTACTTCCTTAGAAATCTGGTTGTTCCCCCCTCTCTGCTATAACAGTACCTGCTCCCATGTCTGCTACAGAACTTTTATGTGTTAATGTTAGTTTCTACATCTCTTTACATCTCTGCCGATGTGTTAATGTTGGTTTCTACATCTCTTTTTTCTCTGCAGTCCTTCCAGAAGAAAACTATACGTAAATCTGCTCAGGATATTCAACAGCTAGCCAGTGCATATGACATATACTGGGTACTTAAGAAACGTTTGTTAAATGAATCATGATTATAAAGAAAAAATAAATTAAAACTTATGTTTAGTTAAACACTGTTTTGTGTATTAGTCTAATTTGTTTTATCTGAAGAAAAGTAACATAAGAAAGATAATAAATGTGGAATACAGAGGAAATCCATTCTGAGAGGTAAATTCATAGATGTTATCATTCTAACATTCTGATTTTGCTTTATTAATGATACCCAAATGCTTCAAAATAATAAGTAGGTATAAATTTCTTAATTTTGAGGAAAATATAGTACATAATCAGTGAAAAATTATACTTTTGTCAACTACAAACAATTTTTACAGCTCAGGTCCCTGGGGAAATGGAAGTGCTATTAAGTGATGGAAGAAATGAAAGGGAAGTAGGTGTTAAAGGCTGAAAAGGAGGATATGTGTAAAAACGACTTCACTTCTGGATGGTAGGGAACTAATATACAGCCCTCTTCCTGAAGGAAGAAGCATTTAATCAACTAATTAGCCACAGCAGTTGGATTTACTGGGCTAAGTAAAAAATCCATTCTCCCTCAAAGCAGTGCTGTGTAACAGAAATATAAAGCTAACCAGATAGGTAAGTTTACATTTTCTAGGAACCACATTCAAAAAATTATTTTCAATAATATACATTTATTCCCATATATTACTCAAGATATCGTTTCAACATGGAATCCTTAAAAACTACTAGTGAGTTTTTTGGAAATATAACTTTGAAATCTGGTATGTACTTAACATATCTCAATTCAGACTAGCCAATTTCAAGTGTTCAGTAACCACATTTGGCTGATGGCTACTATATTAGACAGCACGGCTCTAAAACAAAGCTACTGAAATCCAAAAACAAAAACAACAATGAAAAAATCTTTTTGCAATAGAACTCTAAACTCTACTGTAAAATATACACAAGGACTCCTAATGTAAAAGCTGATTTCAAGATTTCACAACGATAATCATAATGATGATGTAATAACAGCTGACACTTAAATATATCAGTACAAACCATGCCCCAGTTATGGTTTTAAGCATGGTTTTTACTCAATTCTCACAACAACCCTATGGGGATTATAATCTCTATCTGTAAGATGAAGAAACAATCCCAGGCAACCAGGCCACAAGGAAATATTATGCATCTGATAAAATAGTAAAGGAGAATTCTATGTACTGATATGGAAAAAGATATTCTAAGTGTATACAAAAGACCTTTATATTGGACAGTAAGTTAAAAATCAGGTTGCAGAACAAAATATTTACTATAACCTTCTTTTTCCAAAAGAAAAGCGCAAGAAAATAAGAGACATTCTCACACATTTGTACTTCTACATATAAACTGTTAATCAATCACAGTTATATTCATATCAAAAAAGGTTTGGAAGGTTAGAAGCAATGGTTAACACTGATTATCCTGGGAGAAGGTGAGTTTAAGTTAAAAGGTCTCTCTGTTTTAAATTTTTATCTTTTATATAATTTTAAATGTTTATATGCCAATGCTGGCAGAAAGAAAAAATAATACAAACTTTTAAAAATGGGAGAGCAAAGAAGGAACAGCCTTGAACTTGACACTAATCCTACAAATTCTGAAAGCACAGCAAAAGATATGGAGCATCAGGGACCTTTGCCCTCCAAAGATTTGCCAGATAAATATAATTTAAGAATGGCTTTTTTGAGAGAAATACATAGTTTAGAAAAACATTCAAAATGTGCCTATCTTACGTTAATGAATTTACCTGTGGATAAAGCTGGACAATAGGAAGCATCTGTAATCAATTTGTTCCTTGAAAGCAGGGGTCAACAAACTTTTTCAGTAAAGTTTACATTTTTGGCATTGCAGGCCATACGGTTTCTGTTGTAACTACTCAACTCTGCCATTGTAGCTAGAAAAAAGCTATAGACAACATGTAAACAAACAGCATGGCTGTGCTCCATAAAACTTTCTTTATAAAAACAGTTGGAGAATGGGATTTGGCCCATGGCAATAATTTGCCAACCCTCACTCAAGAATAAGGTTCAAGGAGTTTGGCTAGACATTATGATACATCCCCTCTAAAAAAGATCGTTTTAAGACACCACTACAAGAAACCTACTGTGGCATTTAGCAAAGGAGTGTTGGTGAGAACACTGTGCACTCCACCTCCTAGAGTAAAAGCCAAAAAGGAATTTATTTTTAGTCTTATATGGCTAGAAACATTTTCTTAACATGGGAAATTTATCTTTCTCTTTAGGGAAATGCAAATCGTGTAACTCATGATGTCTGCAAGTAAGATCAGAACAATTAGTACATTAATTTATAAAAATGGTTGCCAGCCAGGTTTTTTACATATTACCTAGAAACTCTTTCGAGGTCTTGATCTTTGTTGTTACCACCTTTTCCTTCATCCAGATTTTAGCTAACTTTACTTTCCATTTGATTGTATGAAAAACCAAAGAAGAATTTTTTTTTTTTTTAAAAAGCAACTCACCTGGGACTTCATCATTTTTTGCTCTTCCAAAAGGCCAGATGACTGAAAAAGCAAAACTGGTGATCAGAATGTTTTTCATAGTCCAAACCCAGACTGCAGCTTTCACATTCACCAATCTTGCAACAACTAACATCAGAAGTCAAGTAACTAATGGGCTACCCTGTGGGATAAGGTTGTTTGAGCCTTACAGAAGTCTCAGCAGGCACCATGTGGAGGAGGGATCATTCTTTACTCCTCTTGTACCTATAATATGATCACATAGAAGTTGACCAAGGTTTTATAATTGGATAGATGTGAAGATATGTTTCCAGTTGATTTACTAACAACTTACTGTTCCCCTTGGGAATCAGCAATTCTATTTATAGAAGATTTTCATGAGGCAATAATCATGGATAGCTATATAAGGATATAAGTGAAGATGGAGCTCCTTGGCAGTAAGAATGGGAATGACCAAATGGAAAACTGAGGCATGTGTTCCCTATTCCTAAAAAGAACCAGCAGCTGAATTCCAACAATTTTCCAAGAACTCTCTTATATTTTCCCCCAACTTAGAAAACTCTTGCTAAATCAATGTGCATGAACTCAAAGGTTAATTTTAAGATGTTTTCTGTTTAAATTTTTATTGCTCTTTTTCAACAGCTCTATTGTCTGTATACAAAAATGGTGATAGGTTGGAACCACTGGAAAAAAAAAGAGTATACCACAATGCAGGAAGGTAAATACCTGGTAAATTTTCCTCAGTCCCAGGACAAGTCATGCAGACAGAGCTGAACTATTTCAGAGGACGTGGGGGCTCCCATGACAGACAGATTATTTTATATGGGGGTATCAAAACATCTGGAAGGAAACAAAAGAAACAATCATACTCATCTCTGGATATCCCGCAGATGCTCAATAAATGTCTCTTGAATAAAATATAAAATGATTTAAATAAACTTAGAAAGTGGAGAACTGAAATCAAACTTTTAATTATGATTTTATCAGTTTTGATTTGTTTGGTCTTGTTTTAAAATGACCATTTGATGGGGGTACCATCAGAAATGCTTAGTGG
The DNA here is from genome assembly GCF_000001405.40 of Homo sapiens. Taxonomy (NCBI): domain Eukaryota; kingdom Metazoa; phylum Chordata; class Mammalia; order Primates; family Hominidae; genus Homo; species Homo sapiens. The sequence continues at coordinate 150,904,192 of NC_000005.10, forward strand.
GCAATGGTAGACTAAGAAAAGATGTGAAAAGGGGTTGACCTTTAAGAACTCAAACAGTTGCCTATGACCTGTGGAAATTTAACGTTAAGTAAAGGCCTTCCCCAGTAAAATGTGGCTGACCACCATGACACCGTGGCCCCATTACTGTCCCCATCTAAATCTCGGAATTCTCAGGCCTAGTAATCATATACCCTACTGAACTCCCCCATGTCCATCACATCACTGAACACATGGACGCCCCCATCATTTAGTCCATAGCCTCCCATCACTGATTCCTCAGAGTCCCCTAAATCACTGAACCCAGTTAAACCCACCAGTCAGTCCACCTGCAAGCCATTCCTGACCTAATAGACACCCCCTCACCTCTCACTTCCCTGTTACTAATCACATCTCGGACTCCCACATAAATCCAACATTAATCCCACCTACTTCCCCCACCAGTGATTTCATAAACCTCCTACCACTGACCCTCACGGGCTCCTCTCCTCCCATTACCAATCCCACAGACTCACCCTTCACCGCACACATCCCGCCTCTGACTCCCAGCTCGATTATCAGGTCCCAAAACCACCATCACCGCTTAATGGGAACCGCTGTCACATCCCTATTGGCAAACTCTCCTGCTTCCTGTCCGCGAGCACCACACCGGGCTCCCGAGGCTGCGCCGTTCCGTACTGGGCGGTTTTGCCCGTTCCGCATCTTCAGAGGCTTTGTTCAGGAAGCAACATGGCTGCTCCCTGGAGCTGTTTCCGCATGGGGCCGCCATCTTGAGAGCCCGGTCGTCTTCGTACTAGCGGAGGATTCGCCCAGTGCTGAGCCCGAGAATGGGCTGTACCACAGCGGCAGCGAAGGGAGGGGAAGGCGACGGAAAGGAGGCCTGCGAAAGGAGCATTAAGGAGCACACTTTTGCAGAAAGATTTTACAAGGGGGATTGAAGAGGAAGTTGGAGTGAACCTTCCTCTATTGGAAGCATGCTTCTGACGAAAGGGGAGGAATTTTAGATGGTACCATGGACGTGTTTGTGAATGGTACAGCCCCATGCCGGGAGATTCGACTGCTCAGAGGGGAAGCGTGGAATGGTGCGGTCCTCTCCAGGGAGATTTCACTGTGGGAGAGAGGGACAAAATCTGGGGGCTGAACAATCATTGTGTACTGTAATTATGCCAATAACAACGGTAAGGAATCCTTATAAGGGAATTTGATATTGCAGTAATAAGTAATAAGAGGTCGACTGAAGGAAAAAGGGAAATTAAGAGCAGGGAAGAGGAGACTGAGGCACAAAGAGAGGGAAGTGAGAAGCAGAGAATCAGAGAGAAAATGGGGGAAATGGGGACAAAGGAGCCAGCCTAGAAAGGAGGAGAGACGGGAGACTGAAGAGAAAAAAATAGACATAGGAATAGAAGTGGGGATCTAAGGGGTAGAGCGTGGTAGACAGACAGATTGAGACAGAAAAGAGACTTGAAAATTGGAACAGACATAAGGGAGAGACTGAGAAGGTTAGATTTCAGAAACAACAACAACAACATGATTTTTTAAAAATGAACCAGCCAAAGAGAATACTAAAATTGTTATCTTAACCCTTAGACCTTACATCAAGCTTTAAAAAAGCAAAATGCATGTTCACAGACCAATGTTTCATTTGTATAAATGAATACAATTTTGAATCATAATTTTCACACGAGTCATGCTTTTTGATATGTTATGAAATAGGCAGCAATTTTACATTTAGCAATTTATTTCTCATGTCAAAACAAATGCACTTAGATAAGAAGACAATGTATTCAGAAAGAACACTGTTGCATTAGGAAGAATGCTCCAATCTCAAATCTGCAAGAATCACAATATCAACAAAATGACTTTTTTTTTTTTTATAGGGAAGAGTAAGAAGGGTTAGCAGGAACTTTGTAGGGAGAAGGATATGAGATAGGGGTGTGCAGGTGGCAAAACCAGGGCATTTCTACAGAAATTGTTTCTGTTGTCATGGAATTCTGAGAATAAGCGGTTAAGGGGAGATGTTTTGAATCATAGTGCATTAGTGCAGTGTTTCAACTCAGGGGAAGCCAAAATGAAGGGGCCTGCGGGAAGGAGAGAAGTCTGACTAAAGGTTGGTCAAGACAAAGAGGATAAGAAATAGTTGGTTGTGAACACTTAACCTCTTCATCTCTATTTAGACTTCCACAGTTATATCAATATTTATTTCTTGACTTGAGCTTAAGACAGTGTAGACACTGAGTTTAGTGGTAAAGGTATATAGTAATGATTAATTCAGATACCTCACCCTCAAGGAGTGATGCCAGTGGAAGTTGTAGAGTCAGGAAAAGGCCAGACTCTACTACTATTCCTATGCGGAGAGCCTTGTAGGAATTGTAAAAACTTTAGTTCTTCATCTTAAGAATTACGGAAAGCTGTCCTTATGTAGTACCTAATTTAAAAAGAAGATGTTGAAGGAACAGGAAGCCTCCCTCATAATGAAAGGAAGAAAATTAAAGCCATAGTACAATACCATTTCCCATCTATTTGCTTATAAAATATTTTCTAAGTTTGGCAACACTGTTAGGCCATGGGAAATATCATGTGTTACTGGTGGGACAGCAAACTTACAGCCCTCTTTAGAGGGTTTGGCAATATCTAGCAAAACTACATGTATTAGTTATCTATTGCTGTGTAACAAATTACCCAAAACTTAGCAACTTGAAATTATAAATATTTATTGTCGCATAGTTTCTGTGAGTCAAGAATGGGAACAGCTGGGCTGGGTGGTTCAGGTTTAGTCTCTCGTGATGTTGCAATCAAGCCATAGGCCAGGGCTGCAATTATTTCAAGGCTCAATTGTAGGAGGATATGCTTCCAAACTCAATCAAATAGCTGTGGGCAAGCCTCAGAATATCAGTTTCCAAGCTTGCTCACATGGCTGCTTACGGGCCTCAGTTCCTCACTATGTGGGCCCTTCCTTAGGCTACCTTATTGTTTTCATGATATGGCAGGTGTCTTCCCTCTCTCTAAGGCTGCCTCATGATATGATAGCTGACTTCTGTACAGTCCAAGTGAGTCAAGGGGGAGAGAACACACACAAAACAGAAGCCACAGGCTTCTTATAACCTAAATTGGAAGTGGCATCTGATTATTTTTTCTGTATTCTGTTGGCTAGAAGTGAGGCACTCAGGCCAGCCGATAATCAAATGAATGGGAATTGAGCTCCACCTCTTAAGGAGGATTATCAAAGAATGTATGGACATATCTCTAAAACCACGGCACTACATAATTTTTACCCTATGATTCAGAAACCCCACTTGAAGAATATATCCCAAAGATACATTCTTCACAATAAAAAATAGCCAAAAGATTATTGCAAAACTGTTTTTAATACCAAAAGACAGCAGATAACACAAACATTTAAAACAGTACTATTTAGCCGTGAGAGGGGTTGGAGGAGAGAGAGGGAGGGAGAAATATCTTTCTGTACTAACATGAAGTGAATTTCAGGATATAATATTATGTATCCTGAAATTATATTAAGGATATAATATGTTAAAAACATAAAGTGGAAAAATGAAAATATTTGCTATTACCATTTTTAACGTAAAAGTGAATGAATATGTATGTATTTATTATATATGTGCATAACATATATATAAAAAGTTGCAGTGAGAAACGAATGAAGTAACCCCTTTCCCCAGTCCTTTTTATTTACAAAAGTTATGTTCTATAAAGTCATCATAAACCCTGGATTAGCAAGTACTGAACCATTGCTTCCAGGGGAAAAATAAAATTATATATATATATAAAATATTATTTTGTAAAATGAAATCCCAGCTATTATATATATATACATATACACACACACATATGTATAAACACACACATATATAGATACATATCTATCTATCTATATATATAAATCCTAAAAACAACTTATCCTGGGTATATTTTATTTTACAAAAGAGAAAATGAGGTTTAGAAGTGTTATGAACCATTGCTTCCAGGGGAAAAATAAAATTATATATATATAAAATATTATTTTGTAAAATGAAATCTCAGCTATTTTATATATATATACACACACACATATATATAAACACATATATATATAGATACATATATATATATAAAATAATCCTAAAAACAGCTTATCCTGGGTAGATTTTATTTTATTTTACAAAAGAGAAAATGAGCTTTAGAAGTGTTAATTAAGCCTAATGTCACTCCATTAACAGCTGCAGCTTCTTGTACATTACTGTGCTGCCCCTTCTGTCTCCATCCTCTGGTCTTCTCTGTATGAGAGGTGAAACAAGAAGCCAGAGTATTGCCTTGTTCTAACTCAACTGAGAATGTGCACATGAGGTGACACATTTTTGCTACTCTGTGTGTGTCTGCAAATAATTGCAAAAGTGCTGTCAGTATTGATTTTGGGGTTATAAATGGATTTTAGCAAGTAGGTGAATTTGCAGATGCAGAATTTGTGAATAATGAAGATCAACTAAATATATACTTACCTTAAAAATTAAAAATGAATAATGGAAAAATAAATCATCAAATAAAACATTATCTATAAAGGGTGTTATTATCAATGAAAATGTAGCAAATAACCCCAAAATGTAGTGGCATAAAAATGCACATTTGTTGTCTCACAGTTTCTGTGGGTCAGGAAGATGACATAAATTATCTAGGTTCTCTGTTTAAGGTCTCTCACAAATCTATAATCAAGTTATCATCCAAGGATAGGGTTTCATCTGAAGGCTCAGTTGGAGAAAGATCCACTTCCAAGCTCAATTGTATGATTTTGGGAGGATTCAGTGCCTCAAGAATTATTGAACTGAGAGTATTCACTTCTTTGATAGCTGCTGGCTAGAAGCCACTCACAGTGCCTTGCCATGCAGAACTCTCTAACATGGAAACTTGCTGATTTAAGGAGGCAAGAGAAAGAGTCTATAAGGGAGATGGTAGTCACAATCTTTTATAATCTAATCATGAGATGATATCCCCTCAATGTTGCCATATTCTATTGGTTAGAAGCTACTTACTTATATGGAAGTGATTACACAAGGTCATGAATACCAGGAGGTGGGGATCATTGGTGGTCATCTTAGACACTTCCTGAGAAGGAAATAAGACAGAGGGGATATAAATATTACCCACTGTCCTTTGAATGTACCATGTCCTGTTTATTTTACTTGAGAACCACAAAAAATTTACATAATTGTAAAACAAAATAAATTTTAGAAAATAATTCCAAACTTCTGCTTCTGGCAAAGATAAAATAACAGGGAATGAATGCAGACGTGTATTGGTCCATTTTCACACTGCTGATAAAGACATACCCGAGACTTGGTAATTTATAAAGAAATTACCAAAAGTAAAGTTTAATAAAGAAAAAGAGGTTTAATTGACTCACAGTTCCACGTGGCTGAGGAGGCCTCACAATCATGGTGGTAGGTGAAAGGCACATCTTACATGGTGGCAGACAAGAGAGAAGTGAGAGCCAAGCGAAAGGGGTTTCCCCTTATAAAACCATCAGATCTCATGAGACTTATTCACTACCACAAGAACAGTATGGGGGAAACCGCCCCCATGATTCAATTTTCTCCCACTGGGTCCTTCCCACAACACATGGGAATTATGGGAGCTACAATTCAAGATGAGATTTGGGTGGAGACACAGCCGAACCATATCAACACTTATAACTGAAATGACTTTAAAAACAGACAACTATATGAAACAATAGTTTTAAGATATTAGACATCAGGCAGTAAAGGATGGCAATCCTTGAGAGATGAGAAACAAATGAAGTGACCCAGTTTACTTCCTTGAGAAAATTTCCAGGACAAACACAAGAAAAGGAGCCCAGGCAGACAACAGCAGACTCTCAGAGTTAAGCAGAAATAACTAAGAATCTGTGGAGACCAGGGCAAAGGACAAAAAAAATTGAAAGATGCTCAGAGAGAGAACTCCAGATATTTGCAGAGTATTCAGCAGAGTATTGATTAGTGCATGTATGTAAAGAAACTACCAGAACCTGGGAAAAGAAATACCTGAAAGAATAAGAGAAAACAATTGGAGTTTATTTTTAAAGCCAAGATTCATGCCTGTTCCTGCCAGACAGAGTGGAAAACTTTACAATTCTTGAAGTACTGGGAAGAGTGTGCAGAATGATGTTGCCTCAGTAGTGGGGAATTATTAGCTCTAGATTAAAATCTTGCTCTCGTGCCACCTAATAAATCAGACCTGAAAGGATCAAAGCATTCCCAAGTAACTTAACAAAACTGCAGAACAATGGTTCAAAAATATATATTAGAACACAAAATTATCTAGCATTCAACAAAGTAAAATTTACTATATCTGGCATCAAATCAAGAATTATCAGGCATGTGTAGACTTAATGTTTTCCCCGTTAGGTCAGGAACAAGGCAAGAGTATTCACTCTCATCACACATTTGACATAGTACTGGGAATTCTGCCCGATAAAATAACACAAGAAAACAAAATTACAAGCATAAACATACAGATCAGAACGGGAAGAAATAAAAGTGTCTATATATGTGCATGATATGAATGATTTGCTATGTAGAAATGCAAAGGATTTTATAAGAAATGCCTAGAACTGGAGTGATGTCAAAATATGGCAGAATAGGACACTCCTGACTATCCCTCCTCCCCAGATGCCCAAATAGACACCTACACATGGATCAATTACCTTCCAAAGAAAGCCAGAACTAGTTGAAAGACCCCCGTGCACTGAAGAATTAAGAAAATATCCACATTGAAGTGAGTAGGAAAAGCAGAGAAAGACTCATGCACAAACTCCACCCTGAGCACACCACTTTAGGATTCCCATCTCCTAGGTTTTTCCTGAGGAGTGAAGGGTTCCTACAACACATATGGTACCCCAGCTTTTATGATCCCTGCCAGCAGGTTTGGCTCTTAAATCACCTTGCATGGAGAGCAGCAGGGATTTGGCATTGGATAATTTCTTTGAAGCACAAAGATCACAGAAGTGGTTTTGAATCATGCAAACACTCTCAGCAGCTGTAGCTCCTGGGTTCAGTCCAGCTTCTGGCTTCTTTCTGGAAGGAGTTTGCACACTTCCCAAGCACCACCCTGAGGTCTGGTTTCTGACTAGCCTGCACATGGGAGCTTATGTGGCAAATAAAGAATAAACCTCCTCCAGCCTCAATGGGAAGGACAGCACTCCTGTGCCTTCCACCTCAGCTTACAACAGCAATAAATCCAGGTCTGCAGACTCTCCCTGAAGGGAGGTTGTGAGACTTTTGCAAGCTTGAACAAGAGAGTGAGTAATCCTCCACATTTTCTCTACTGGCATGCTACAGCAAAAAATCCAGGTCTGAAGACTTTCCCTAGAAAGAATTTCTGCATGCATCAAGTGCCCCAAAGCGCAGTCTGAATGAGAGTGCAAGCATCCGTCACAGAACCTCTTGGTTTAAATCAGAATGAATGAGAGCGAAAATGTGGCTCTCAGTTTCTCCCTGAGGAAAGAAGTAACTGTAACACATATCTGACACCCCAGTTCTCCAAGCTGCATTTTGAGAAACTGGCTTTTATTTCACCTTTCTCAGGGCACTAGCATGACTTGGACCACTCTAATTTCCTGGAAGCTATTGAGAACAAAATCAGTGAGTTGGATAAGCTCAAAGGGTTGAGAGGCACTTAGAATCTCTGGCTGGGCTGATTGGTGAGGACCATCTCCTGCATGAGTCTAGTATAACAAGATTGGGAGAGGTAGTTGTTGTATCTAATATACAGAAACCATCATAGAGAGTCAAAGAAAATGAAAAAACAAGAATTTTTTTTCCAAATAAAAGAACAATATAAATCCCCAGAAGCCAACCCTAATGAAATGGACATATGTGATTTATCTGACAGGGAATCAATAAACAGTCATAAATATGCTTATTGAGATCAAGACAGCAATGCATGAACAAACTTAGAATTTTAACAAAGAGAAATAATTTTAAAGTTACAAAACAGAAATTATAGAGCTGAAGAACACAGTAACTGGACTAAAAAATTCAATAGAAGGGTTCAATAACAGACTATATCAAGTGAAAGAAATTACTTATGAGCTGGAAGACAGGTCATTGGAAATCATCTCATCTAAAAAGAAAGAATAAATGAATGAAAAAAGTCAAGACAGTTTAACGAACTTTTGGAAAACCAGCAAGCAGAAAAATATACACAATCCAAGTACCTGAAGTAGGAGAGACAGAAAAAGACAGAAAACATTAAAAGAAATAAAGGAAGAAAAATTTCAAAGCCTGGAAAGGGGAAGAGAAATCCATAACCAAGAAGATCAGATGGGTAGAATACCAGATAAGATGAATCCAAAAAGTTCCATGCCAAGACACATTATGTCAAATTCTCAAAAGCTAAAAACAGAAATTTGATAGCAGCAAGGAAAAAGTGACTTGTTACATACAAGGAACTGCAATAAGACTACTAGAATATTTTTCAGCGGAAACTTTCCAGATGAGAAAAGAGCAGGATGATATATTCAAAACACTAAAAAGAACCTCACAAAATATGATAGCCAGCAATCCTGTCATTCAAAAATGAAAGTGAGATAAAAACTTTCTCTGACAAAGCTGAGGTTTTACAGATATCTAAGGGAAAATACAAAAATATAGTAATCAACTAAGTGCTAATACATTAGATAACTTAGATGAACAAATTTATGGAAAGACACAGACTACCAAAATTCACTTAATAAGAAGTAGATAAACTGAAGACCCATGTATCAGTTTTTAAAAACTGATTTGTAGTTTTGTAGTTAAACATGTTCCCACAAAGAAAACTCAGGCCAACACAGATTCACTGGTGAATGATACCAAACATGTAAGGAAGAAATAATGCAAATTCTTCATGAATTCTTTCAGAACATTAAAGAGGAGGAGATATTTCTCAAGTCATTCTATGAGGCAAGCATTACCTATACCAAAAGCTGATAAAGACATTTGAAGAGAGAACTACAGACCATTATCCTTCATGAACAAAGACACAAAAATTTTAAACTAAATTTCAACAAAACAAATGTAGCAATATATAAAAATAAAAAGACATCATAACCAAGTGCAGTTTATAGCAGAAATGCAACAATCCTTTAACACTAGAAAATCCTTCAGTATATTTCACTGTATTAAACTATAAAATACAATCTTTGTGATTATCTCACTAGATATAGGAAGAGCATTTGGCAATATCCAACAACACTTCCTGATTTGAGAATAAAAGGAAATTTTATAAATTGAAACTAAAAGGGAGTTTCCTAAACTTAATAAAGGTAATTTTTAAAAACCTATGAGAAACATCATATGTAATATTAAAAGACTGAGAGCTTTTCACCTAAAATTGGAGCAAGGTGAGGAAGTCCACTCCATGACTTCTTCTACATTGTACTGGAAGTTCTAGTCAGTGCAATAGGCCAAAAAATAAAAAAAGTGTGTACAGTTTGGAAAGGAAATAGTAAAACCATCTTTATTTGCAGATAATGTGATCTATGTAGAAAATCTGATGTATTCTACAAAAAAAGATACTAGACTTAATCAGTGAGTTTAGCAAGGTTGAAGTACACTAAATCAAAAAATATCAGATTTATTTCCATATACTATCAATAAACAAAAAGATATTAAAGTCTTTAAAACATGCATAATAGAATTTTTAAACATATGAAATGCTTGGGGGCAAATATATCAGAAGATGTAAAACACCTGTACACTGAAAACTACAAAACATTGCTGATAGAAATGGAAGGAGAATTGTGACATGTTCATGTAAACAAGACTCATTATTGTTACAATGTCAGTCTCCTCAGATTGATTTATAGGTTCAGTGCATCTATTCAAAATTGCACAAGCTTTTGAGTAGAAATTGACAAGCTGATTTTTCAAATTTATATACAAATGAAAATGATCTAGAATAGCCAAAATAACATGACCAAAAGAAAATATTTGACGCCTAACACTACTTGATCACAAGACATACACACAGCTATGGTAATCAAGACAGTGTGGTATTATTGTAAGGATGGACATACGAATCAATAAAGCAGAATAGATAGTGCGGGGTCCAACCTGCAGACTCTGACCCAGTGACAGATGAAAGATGTACACTGACAAAGATATTTTGCCTATCAGTGTGGCTAAGGGTCTCTGCTACCTGAATCTGCAGCCTCGCCCTGATAAGCTGGCGAAGTTTGCATTTATTTAGTACAGATTAACTGACAAAGGTCTGGAGTAAACACCACTAGAGGGTAATTAACATTGCCAACCCCCTGAGCAGAGAGCACATGCGGATGACCAAAGGTTGGTCTTAGGACCATATGAGTAAACAAGCTATTTAGATAAACTTCCCCACATTCCGTTGTTATTTGCTCTTTTGCTATCAACTCATGGTAAAAAGGATTAGGCTGCCTTTAGCCAAATCTTACTGAAGCTATGCAACCCCTCCAGCCTTCCAAGAAGGTTTGTGTCTGTTTCCTATAACTATCTTTACAATTTTTCTAGCCACTTTGACTGATCTCCTACATCTCCCCCTTTTCTGTTTTCTGTATCAGGCTTTATTGATTGAAGAGGGCAGATGTGTGCAGCAACAGGTCTGTGAGGTGTGGCAGTCACTGCTCTTATTCTGGCTTTGCATCCTAGAATTAGTAAATAACAAGACAAACATAAGTATAATCAGCAACATTCTTTTCCAATCAAGGAGAGACCCCCAGGAGTGGGGGTCTATCCAAGAGAGATGATCTCACACACCCTTCCATATGGCTGTTTGTTGGGTGTGTAGATCTAAGGTGTGAAGGGATTCTAAAATTTTAGTTTTAAGTTGCCTTACATCTGCTGTTAAATTGTCATGAAAGGTCAAGTTCCCAGGAGCACTCACCGGCTCCAGGTCCATGAGTTTCCTTGCTGCTTTCCCTTCTGCCTACCACCTGCTTGGCTGCATGGCTCCGGCTTCTAATGTTTTTTCTTATCTTTATATAAGCGTTAAAAGAAGTGGGTTTATATATCTGATTGCCTTGTCAATCTTGCATTACCAGGCAGACTAAGAGCTCCCCTTCTAATGCTGCTTGCCTAAGACATGGTCCCATAGCTGTAGCATATCCCTTGTCTTTTCTCCTATCTATTGGACGAGGGGTCTCACACAAAACCTCTGTTTCCTCTTTGTTATTTTGGCCTGGTGATCGTGGGACTGAAGGACAAGGAGGCGGTAAAGTAGGTGACAGTTCTTCCTCCTTCCCTTTTTTAGGCTCTTCTGTGTATAATGGGATGAAAGTCACCCTTACTAGAGCCCATAGCCTTAGAGATGATACTGTGACCCATTGCCCTTGCTCATGATATTGGTTAAGATTTCTCCCCACTTGTTCCCAGAGCTCTATGCCTATTGTTGTGCCTTCTTCTGGGAACCACGGGTTATGGAATACAACAGTTTGCATTAGGTCCCTTAATTGAGCCTGTGAAACCGAGGCTCCACTAGCTTTAAGTAGCTGTTTCAATACTTTTATATACTGTATCTGTTGAGCTGATAACTGTAGTCCCATGATGAAACCCTGGCCTGAACAATCCCCCCCGAACTTGGAAATCCTGAGTGGGCACCAATGACTTACTGACTCACTGACTGCGCAGTCCTTTTCACCTTCATTTTCAAGGGATCCATTGTGATCCTTTTGCAGTGTTCCTCTCAGGGGGCACCACCTGCCAGGATCTGACCCACAGACCCTGACCCGACGGATGAAAGATGTACACTGACACATATTTTGCCTGTCAGTGCGGCTAAGGGGCTCTGCTGCCTGAATCTGCAGTCTCAGCCACGATAAGCCAGCAAAGTTTGCATTTATTTAGTACAGATTAAATGACAAGTCTCAAGTAAACACCACTAGAAGGTAATTAACATTGCTGACCCCCGAATAGAGAGCAATCATGCACCTGCGGATGATCAAAGGTTGGTCTTAGGACCACATAAGTAAACAAACTATTTAGATAAACTCCCCCACATTCCCTTGTTATTTGCTCTTTTGCTATCAACTCATGGTAAAGAGGATTAGGCTGCCTTCAGCCAAATCTTTCTGAAGCTATGCAATGCCTCCGGCCTTCCAAGAAGGTTTGTGTCTATTTCCTGTAACTATCTTTATGATTTTTCTAACCACTTTGACCGATTCCCTACAAGATAGTTCAGAAATGGATCCAACTGATAAAATGACAACAAGTTTTCAACAAAAGCATGACTAAGATTGTAAATTTATGTTATGCGTATTTTACCACAATTAATTTCTTAAGTGCCTGCTAAAACATATCATTAGATAAAAGTCCAAAGTATGATGAAATAAATTTTAAGATTGCACATACACTTACTATTTGATAAATCTCAGTGAGCCAAACTTCTGCTTATGAAACATCCATTTTTATTATATTATTATTATTATTGTTGTTTTGAGATGGAATCTCACTATGTCACCCAGGCTGGAGTGCAGTGGCACAATCTTGCCCCACTGCAACCTCCACCTCCTGGGTTCAAGTGATTCTCCCACCTCAGACTCCCAAGTAGCTGGGACTACAAACATGTGCCACCATGCCCATGTAATTTTTTTATTTTTAGTACAGACAAAGTTTCACCATGTTGGCCAGGCTGGTCTCGAACTCCTGGTCTCAAGTGATCTGCCTGCCTCAGCCTTGCAAAGTGCTGCGACTACAGGTTTGAGCCACTGTACCTGGCCTAGTAAGTGTATTTATTAAGGTATAAGACTAGAATACAGGCCAATAAAAATATGAACTATATTTCTATATATTGCAATGAATAATTGAAAACTAAAATTATCTTAAAAACTACCATATGATCAGTGAAAGAGGAATAAAATTAACATGTACAAAAATCTACAATAAAAGCTATTGTATTCATTACTGAAATTTATTAAGCATTAAAATTAAAAAATTAAATGGAAAGATATATCAATTTCTTTCTTTTTTGAGATAAGGTCTTGATCTGTTGCCTAGGTTGGAGTGCAGTGGCAAGATCAAAGCTCACTGCAGCCTTTAACTCCTGGGCTCAGGCAATGCTCCCACCTCAGTCTCCCGAATAGCTGGGACTGTAGGCACATGCCCTCATGTCTGGCTGGCTAATTTTTGTATTTTTTTTGTAGAGAAATAGCTCCAGAAATCTGCACATGACCAAATCCTAAGCTGTGCATGTTTACTGTGAAAATCCACAAAGCCAGGAAATAGAACATCTGTCAGCAGAAGAACAACTACCAGCTACATGGTCCAGCTAATTTTTGTATTTTTTTGTAAAGATGAGGTCTTTCTTTGTTGTCCAAGCTGCTCACAAACTCCTGGGCTCAAGCAATCCTCTCACCTCAGCCTCCCACAGTGCCTGGATTACAGGTGTAAACCACCATGCCTGGCTTTCAGTTTCATTGATTAGAAAACTTATTGTTAAGTTATTGATTCTCCTCAATTGTTCTATAGATTCAACAAAACCCATTAACATTCCAACAGGACTTTTTTTTTTTTTTTTTAGAAACTGGCAAGTTCATTCTAAAATGTATATGAAAATGCAACAAGCCTTAGCAGAAGCAATCAGGAAGAACAAAGTTGTGAGATGTACCTTACCTGATTTCAAGACTTACCATAAAGCTACATTTATTAGCCTGGTATAGGCATATATATTTTTCCATTCATATGAAGTTCTAGAACATGCATAATTAACTTATGATGAAAGAAATCAGAACAAACAACAGTGATTGCTTCAAGAGTGAGGACACACTAGATTAGGAAATTTCTGGTGTAATGGAAGTAGTCTATATTTTGATAAGAATGTGGGTTACACTAGTTTATGCATGTTTTAAAACTTATCAAACTGTAAACTTAAGACATGTAGTATTTCATTTTGTGTTGTTTGCCACAACAAAGACAAAAAAATGAGGTGACAAATCAAAGTGATTATGTGAAACAACAGAGATTTAAAGTCTTGTAAGAAAATTAAATGTAAATGATGTAACTTACATAACATCCTTTAATTATACTCAATGTGTTCCTTCTATATTCTGGTCTTTGAGAAAAGGATTAAGTAACATAGTCCCTTGTATTATCAATTAGGGTTTTAGAGTTTTAAAGCAATTGGATTATTTGTAAAAGTTGCTTTAATATCTATATTTGTTGGATATTTTTATCTTTCTCTGTGGAGTCTGTCTTCAGATTTATAGTCTACATTCCATTGGTTTGTACCAGAGATTTCGTTTCTTGTCCAGGTGTCTTGAATCATATACATTACAAAAAGACACAATGGCTTTTACTGTCTTTTTAATGTTCAGATATCTAATCCATCCAATGATGGATTTACAATGTCACTGCAAAGGAAATCGGGTCAAGCAGCAGGTAACCCTTCCAGCCTTCTCCAAACAGCTTCCAAAGTCTGTTTTAATTTCATTTTAAATCAGTTATGGCAGTGCTTTGAGTACACCAATATATGCTTGTTTGATCTTTCCTCTCCTTCCTTTAGGAAATCTCTTTTTGGTCACACTGGTACCCTTTACATGTGCTGTTGCTCTTGCCTTTGCTGTGACTCATACTAGAAATAGCCAATTTTTTTACTCAGGGTTTGAGAGGACGGTGAAAATGACATCAACTTCCTCAGCAACTTAATTATCTTACATTGGAATCAGAGACTCATATCACCATGGAAACTCAGAATCACAGAACCATAGAATCTTTGCTGCTAAGAGCACCCACAGAGTACAATTTCTCTTCGTAACTTGAAGTTGTAAAGGATCCTTGCCTGAAAATGGAGACTGTTAACTCATTTTATCTCTTGATTAGAAATACAGAGGAATTTGTTGTCACACAAAGGATAAGCATGCTGAAATTTGTTGATCACTGGTATTTAAAGTGAAATAATTGTTATATGTTGCTGATTAATTTTTCCTTTTATCACTAGTAATTTTTTGCCATAAAGTCTATTTCATATGTATAATTATAGTAAAACTAGTTTTCTTTTGATCAGTGTCAGAATAATATGTGTTGTTATATTTGGCATGTATTTGGTGTAAACATTATTTTAAAAATTCATTCTAAAAATCTTTGCCTTTTTCCACATTCGCTTAGTGAAATTCTAATATATTTGGTTTGAAATCTACATTTTTAATGTTTGTTCTTTATTTCTTGGTCCTGTTGTGTGTTCCTTTTCCACCTTATTTGAATTGACTGGATTTTAAAAAATTAATTCCATTGTTCTCTATTGGCTTTTTAATTTTACATTCTACTGATTTTTAGTTATTTCTCTAGAAACTGTAATATCCATACTTAATCTACACAACTCTAATAAAAATTAGTACTTTTATTATTGCTATTTTATACAAACAATACTCATTTAGCTTCATCTACAGCTTTACTCTTTGATTTTTATTTTTTCCTATATCTCAAAGTTTCTTTCTCAGATCATTTTCCTTCTGCTTCAAGAGTTTTTTTTAAATATTAACTGACTTAGAATAA
Source organism: Homo sapiens (assembly GCF_000001405.40). NCBI lineage: Eukaryota > Metazoa > Chordata > Mammalia > Primates > Hominidae > Homo > Homo sapiens. The sequence continues at coordinate 150,919,680 of NC_000005.10, forward strand.
AAAACATATAATTAAATTGTACAGTTTAATGAGTTTTGAAACATGTATATACTTGTGACATAATCACCACAATCAAGATAATAAACATATCCATAACCTCCCTTTATAATCCTTCTTTTCACTCTATCCCAAATGTATTCCCAGGAAGTCATTGATGTACTTTCTGTCACTATCAGTGTTTTGCATTTTCTGGAATTTCCATAAATGGAACTGTACAGTACGTATTTTTGGCTTGTTTCTTTCACTTAGCATAATCATTTTTAGCTTCTTTGTTGTGTATCTATTTTGTTTATTTACCTGTTGATAAATATTCGGATTGTTTCCAATTTGGAGCTATTACAAATAAAGCTGCTGTGAAAACTGATATATGAGTCTTTTTATAAGCATATGCGTTTTTTTCCTCTCAGGTAAACACCTAGGAGTGAAATGGTTAGGTGATATAGTAGAAAGATGCTTAACTTCTTTCTAAAATGCCAAACTGTTTAAAAAGTGATCATACTTCTCCTTTCCAACCACAATGTATGAGAGTTCCCTCTATCCTATAACAACAAAGAAGTGTGAGTGAGCTCTCTAAGCTCCCTGCTCCCCACTACCTACTGGCAGCAGGGTCCAGCAAAATAGAGGGAGAAAAATATTTTACCCCAACTCAGTGGCAACAAGACAAATGCAAACCAGTTTCTTACATTCTCCAGGAAGATATCAGTGAGACCAAGGCACAATATGAACTTCCACCTCATTCATCTGCAAAGAAGCAGTGTCAGTCAGTGCCCACTTTGCAAAAATGGTGTCATAAGGGCTCATAAGAAAACTGAAGATACATACACACTCAATCCTCACATTGCATCTCATCAGAGAGAATACTTGTGAAAGAAAAACTGAATAGGACCCAGACTCTCATAAATATCTCCAAAATGTCCTGAATATTACAGTAAGTCACTCATACCAAGAACCAGAAAAATAACATGAATGAGAAAAGACAAGAAACAGAGACCAATACTGAGATAAACATAATGTTGGAATATTTATTTTTAACATAATTGTTTTTAAATCTAAGGATTTTTATGTAGCCATCATAAAAGTGTTTCAAGAAGCAATTATGAATTCTCTTAAAACAAATGCAAAAATAGAAACAGCAAGGAAGTAAAATTCTTTTCTAAAGAAACAAATGGACATTATAGAACTGAAAAATAATTATGACCAAAATGAAAAATTAACTACATGGATTCAGTACTAGACTGGAGATGACAGAGGATAGAAACAGTGAACTTGGGGACAGATCAATAGAATTTACCCAATATGAACAAAACAGATAAAAAATAGACTTAAAGGAACTAACAAAGACAGGCATCCGGGAAAATACTAAAATAATTAGTATCATTAAAGTACCAGGAAAGGAGAAAGATACTGGATTAAAAAACCATTCAAAGAAATACAGCTAGAAATTTCCCAAATTTGGTGAAAGACATAAACCTAAATATTCAAAATGTTGAGTGAACCCCAAGTAGGATAAACCTAAAGAAATCCATGCCAAGAAACATCATAATTAAACTTCTGAAAACTGCAAGAAAAATATCTTGAAAGTAGCCAGAGACAAATGACACATTACTTATAGGAGAGCACCAATTCTAATGACAGCAGATTCCTCATATGAAATCATGATGGTCAGAGGAAGAGGCCCATTTTCAGGTGTGAAAGAAAACTTTCTGCCTTAAATTTATTATCCGGCAAAAATATCATTTAGGAATGAAGAAAAATAAAGATACTCTCTGATAACGGAAAACTAAGAGAATTTGTTGTTAGCAAACCTACCCTTCAAGAATGGCTAAAGAAAATTACCTAAATAGAAAGGAAATTATTTTTTTAAATTTGGAACTTTAGAAAAGAACACTAGGATGGATAAAATAAGGTTAAATATAATAGGCTATAATACAGCTTATGAGTTTCTTAAATCATATTTGAAGGTTGAGGCAAAGACATAATCTTACATGGTACAGAATACATGTAGACAAAATAAATAATTACATTTTTAAGGGGGAGGGTAAACAACTAAAAAGAAATAAGATTATATAATTCACTCTAGTAAAATGTCAATAGCAGATTGTGAGAAGTTATGTATGTATATTATAATACCTAGAACAACCACTGAGAAAACTATACAAAACTATATACTTAAAAACACTATAAACAAATCAAGTTAGAATCCTAAAAATTTAATATATACAGAAGAATGAAGGAAAGCAGAAACAGGAACAAGAAACAAACAAAAAATAATAAAATGCAAAATTAGGCTTACCAAATCAATAATTACCTTAAATGAAAATAATCTAAATACACCAATTAAATGAGAGAGATTGACAGAGTGGGAAAAAATATGACCCCAAAATATACTGTCTACAGGAAACTCAATTCAAATAAAATATCATAGGTAGGTTAAAAGTAACAGGACAAAAATTCCATGAAAACATTAGTCAAAGGGCAGAAAGGGGTGGCTATATTAATGAAGTAGACTTCAAGAAAGGAAAAAAAATCTAGAGACAAAGAAATGAATTACATAACATAAAAGAATAAATTCATTGGGAATATATAACAATATTAAATGTGTATGCACCAAACAACATTCTTAAAACACATGAGGTAAAAGCTGATAGAAGTGAAAGAAGAAATATAAACAGGATACAACTGACAAATGTAGAGCACTACACATAATAGCAGAATACACTTTTTTTCAAGAATTCATAGGACATTCACTCAAACATCCATGAAACACTCACCAAGAAAGCCCATATCCTGGATGCTAAAACAAACCACAGCACATTTAAACAACTGAAATCCTGCAGAGTTTGTCTTCTAACAATAATAGGACCAAAGTAGAAATTAATAACAGACAAAAGAAAGATCTCAAAATATTTTGATACTAAACAACAAGTTTCTAAATAATTCATTGTCAAAAATAAATCTCAAAGACAATTAATAAAATACATAAAAATGAAAACACTCCATATCAAAATCTGTGGCATGCAGCTAAAGTAGTGCAGAGATGGAGGTTTTATACACTAAAAACTTGCTTTAGAAAAAAGGAAAAGTCTCAGTAGAATACTCTAAACACCTACCTCAAGAAACTAGAAAAAAATAGAAAAATAACTCAAAGTATGAAAAAGAAAGTAAATGAGGTGAAGAGGGCCAGGCATGGTGGTTCACACCTATAATCCCAGCATGTTGGGAGGCTAAGGTGGGTGAATCATCTGAGGTTAGGAGTTTGAGACCAGCCTGACCAACATGGCAAAACACCGTCTCTACTAAAAATACAAAAATTAGCCAGGTGTGATGGCACGGGTCTGTAATCCCAGCTACTCAGGGGGCTGAGGCAGGAGAATCACTTCAACCCAGGAGGAGGTGGAGGTTGCAAATGAGCCAAGATCATGCCACTGCACTCCAGCCTGGGTGACAGGGTGAGACTCAATCTCACACACACACAGAGAGGTGAAGAGGAAAAAACTAAAGAAAATTAATAAAACAAAAGATGAGTTCTCTAAAAATGTCAACAAACCTGATAAACATATAATTAGACAAAGATAAAAAGGGAGAAGACGCAAATAACCATTATCAGTACTAAAAGTGTGAATATCACCATAAATCCCAGTCATTAAAAGAGTGATAAAAGTATACAACAAAAAACGTCATGATCATAAATTTGATAACTTAGAAAAAATGAGCAAATTCTGCAAAATTGTTAATAATATTATCTCTTCTAGTATGTGAACATGGGAAATCTTTTATATGACTTTTCTTCTATTTCTTTCATCATTGTTTTATAGTTTTCAGTATACAGGTCTTCCAGCTTCTTGGTTAAATTTACCATTGGTATTTATTTGTTTTGTTGCTATTAATGAATGGAGTAGTTTATTAATTACCTTTTTGGACAGTTCATTGCAAGTGTACAGAAAGGCTACTGATTTTTGTGTATTGATTTTATATACTGAAATTTTACTGAATTTGTTTATCAGTTCTAACAGCTTTTTGGAGGCATCTTTTGCATATTCTGTATATAAGATTATGTCAATACACAGGGATAGTTTAACTTCTTTCTTTTCCATTTGAATGCCTTTTATTTATTTCTCTTGCCTAACTGCTGTGGCTAGGACTTGCAGTAATATGTTCAATAGTGGTAAAGGTAGGTATCCTTGTCTTGTCTCTGGTCTCAGAGGAAAAGCTTTCAACTCTTCACCATTGAATATAATGCTAGCTATGGGTTTCTGTATATTGCCTTTTTTGTTTTGAAGTATATTGCCTCTATACCTAATCTGTTGGGAGTTTTTTAAATCATTAAACGGTGTTGAACTTGTCAAATGTGTTCTCTGCCTCTATGGAGGTGATCCTAGGGTTTTTTTATCTTTCACTTTGCTGATACAGTATATCACCTTTATAGATAGGTGTATATTGAATCATACTTGCATTCCAAAGATAAATTTTACTTCATCATGGTGAATAACTTTTTTGGTGTGTTGTTGAATTTGATTTACTAGTATTTTATTGAGGATTTTTGCATCTATATTCATTTGGGGATATTGCCCTGTAGTTTTCTTATACTGTTCTTATCTGGCTTTGGTATCAAGGTAATGCTAATCTCATAGAATAAATTTAGAAGTATTCCTTCCACTTTAATTTTTGGAAGAGTTTGAGAAGGATTGATATTGTTTCTTTTTTTAAAAAAAAATGTCTTGTAGAATTCATCAGAGATGCCATCATGTACTAGACTGATATGGTTTGGCTGTGTCCCTACCCAAATCTCATCTTGAATTATAGTTCCCATAATCCCCACGTGTCATGGGAGGGACCCAATGAGAGGTAATTGAATCAAGGGGGCAGTAACTCCCATGCTGTTCTTATGATAGTGAGTTCTCACAAGATCTGATGGTTTTATAAGGGGCTTTCCTACTTTTGCTTGGCCCTTCTCTATCATGCCATCATGTGAAGAAGGACATGTTTGCTTCCCCTTCCACCATGACTGTAAGTTTCCTGAGACCTCCCCAGCCATACAGAACTGTCATTCAATTAAAACTCTTTCTTTTATAAATTACCCAGTGTCAGATATTTCTTCATAGCACATTAGAATGGACTAATACATAGACTTTTCATTGATGGAAGACTTTTTTACTGATTCAGTCTCCTTATTTGTTATTGGTCTGTTCAGGCTTTCTATTTCTTAATGAGTCTGTCTTCGTAGTTGTTATGTGTCTAGGAAGTTATCCATTTCATCCAGATTATTCAATTTGTTGAAACATAGTTGTCCATAGTAATTTCGTATGATCTTCTGTATTTCTGTCCTCTCTGTTGTAATGTCTCCTCTTTTGCTTCTGATTTTATTTGAGCCTTCTTTTTTCTTAGTGAGTCTAGGTAAGGGTTTGTCTATTTTATTTTTTTAAAAAAATTTCTTAGTTTTATTAATTTTTTCTGTTTTCCTAATCTCTTTATTTCTGTGCTGATCTTTAGTGTTTCCTTCCTTCTGATCACTTTAATTTGTTCTTCTTTTTTTAGTTCCTGGAGGTGTATTGTCAAGTGATTTATTTGAGATCTATCATCTTTTTTGATATAAGCATTTATTGGTATAAGTTTCCCTCTTAGGACTGCTTCTGCCATATCCAATAAGTTTTAGGTTATCTCAAGATTTTTTTTCACATCCATTTTCATTTCATCTGTGACCCATTGGTTGTTAGAAGCATGTTGTTTAATTTCTACATATTTGAGAATTTTCCCAGATTTCTTCTGTTTAGTATTAGGGTAATGCTAGCCTCATAGAATAAGTTTGAAGTACTGTTATTGATTTCTAGTAGTATGCCATTGTGATTGAAGAAGATACTTGTTATGACTTCAATCTTCTTAAATTTGTTAAGACCTGTTTTGTGCCTAATGTATGATCTATTCTAGAAAATGTTCTGTGTACACTTAAGAAAAATGTGTATTTTATTGTTGGATGGATTGTTCTGTATATGTCTGTTAGGTTCATTTGGTCTAAAGTACAGTTTAAGTCCGATGTTTCCTTATTGATTTTCTGTCTAGATGACCTGTCTGTTGTTAAAAGTGCAGTATTGATGTCTTCTATTATTATTATATTGCAGTCTGTCTCTCTCTTCAAATCAATAGTTCCTTTTTGTATTTAAGTGCTCTGATGTTTGGTGCCTATAAATTCACAATTGTTGTAGCCTCTTGATGAATTGACCCAATCATTATCATATAAAGACTTTGTCTTTTCTTTATAATTTTAACTTAAAGTCTATCTTTTTCTGACAAGGGAATAGCTACTTCTTCTCTCTTTTGATTCCGATTTGTGTGGAATATCTTTTTCTATTCCTTCACTTTTAATATGTGCCCTTACTAGTAAAATGAGTATCTCGTAGGCAGCATATAGTTTGGTTATGTTTGTTACATCTATTCAGTCTCTCTATGTCTTTTGATTGGATAATTTAATTCATTTGCATAAGAGGTAATTATTGATAGGTAAGGACCTTCTCTTGCCATTTTATAATTTATTTTCTGGTTGCTTAGTAGATTGTTTCTTTCTTCCTCTCACTGTTTTCCATTGTGGTTTGATGGTTACCTTTGGTGGTATGCTTTTCGTACTTTCTTACTATGTTTTGTGCAACTACTATAGGTTTTTGGCTTTGGGGCTACTGTGAGGCTTTTAAAAATCTTATTCTTATAATAGTTATTTTAAGCTGATAACAACTTAACTTTAATTGTATACAAAAATCTCTAGATTAATTTCCAAAACATCTTTTATGATATTGATGTCAAATTTTACATCTTTTTGTAATTTGTATTTCTTAACAACGTATTGTAGCTACAGTTTTTAAAATAGTTTTATCCTGTAACCCTCATAGCAGAGATAAAATTGCTTTACTCACCACCCTTACAGTATTAGCGTATTCTGAATATTGATTATATTACTTATACCATTGAGGTCTTTTTACTTTTCTATGTTTTGTGTTATTCATTTGCAGTCTTTTATTTCAGCTTAATGAAAAAAAATCCCTTTAGCAGTTTCTTTAAGGCAAGCCTAGTGGTGATGAAATACTTTAGCTTCTGTTTGTTTGAGAAAGTTATTTCTCCCCCATTTCTGAGCAACAGCTTTGTTAGGTAAAGTATCTTGATTAGTAGTTTTTTCACCCTTCAGCACATTATATATAGTCTGACTCTCTTCCCTGGCCTCCAGGCTTTCTGCTCAAAGATCTGCTGATAGCCATATTGAGACTCACTTGAGTCTACGGCCATGCCACCCTGAACGCGCCCAATCTCATCTGATCTCAGGAGACTCACTTGAATATGATGTAATTCTTATCTCTTGTTACCTTCAGAATACTTTGTCTTTGATTTTTGAAAATTTGAATATGATGTGTCCTGGTGAAATATTCTTTTGGTTGAATTTAATTGGAGGCCACTGTTGGTGTCTTATACCTGGATGCTGTTATTATTCTCCAAATTTTGAAAAATTTCAGCCATTATTTCCTTTTTTCTACATTCTCCTTCTGAAAATTATATTGTGTGAATATTCATTCTCTTGATGGTGTCTCATAATTCCCATAAGTCTTCATGATTGTTTGAAATTCTTTTCTTTTTGTTCCTCTGACTAAATAATTTCAAATGTCTTGTCTTTAAGCTCACTGATTCTTTCTTCTGCTTGATCATGTCTTCTGTTGAAGCTTTCTACTGAATTTCTCAGTTCAGTTATTATAGTTATTATCTCCAGGATTTATATTTTTCAGCTGTTTTTATTTCTTTGTTAAATTTCTTATTTTGTTCATGAATTGTTTTCCAAATTCCATTAATATTTAGTTTGCTATCTGCATTTTCTTGTAGTTCTCTGAGCTTCTTTAAGAGGGTTATTCTAAATTTTTTATCAGTCATTTCATAGACCTCCATTTTTCAGGGTCTATTATTGAAGATGTATTAGTTTTAGTAGTGTAATATTTCCCTAATTTTTAAATAATCCTTGTGTACTTCTAAGAGTGCCTGCATTTTTGAGGAAATAACCACCTCTTACAACCTTTGCAGTTGTTCTTTGGCAGTGATAAACTTTTAGAATTTAAGCCAGCCTGGGATTCTGGATGGCCCAGCTAACAGCAAACCTGGACAGGCAGACCTTGCCACCAAGTTCTCTAAGTGTGCTGGGCTGCTGTGTGTGCTGTGAGGTGAAGTGGAACTGCTCGATGTGCTCCATCGTCTGATGGGACCACTGGCCAGACTCCAGTCAGGCAGAGCTGCTGTATGGTCTTTGCAGGTTGATTGAATAGAGTTTCAGGCTGTCTTTCCTGACTGGGTTGTAGTGCTGTTTAGAATCTGGAAGTGGGCAGGCCTACGAGCTGGGCTATAAGGTTGGGTGAGGTCTCTGGAATCACCACTTGACTGCTGGGGATTGGTGGAGCCATGCACTCCATCCGCAGATACAGTTCTGCACTTGCCTCCTGGCCTTGGGAGTGCTTAAGCGAGCTCTGGGGTTTAGTGGAGCCCCCAATAGGATGCTGGGTTTGGTTGGGGTCAGCTACTCCCTTCCACAAATATTTGTGAACCTGCACTTGCCTCCCAGCATCAGAAATGCTCAAGCAGAGCCCCAGGTCCTGGTGGAGAAGCTGGCTAAGGACTGATGCCTGGAAAAGCTGTAGGACTGTGCATCCTTGTAGAGTAATGCTGTTGGCAAGTTTCTGTGATGAAGCATCTCCATTGTCCAGAATGCAGAGCCAGTGTCAAGACACTGGTCACTGTGAACCCCATCCCCACCTTTTGTTTCTAACTGACCCCAGGTGTTCTATCCCTGCTGATATCCTCAATGTTCTGTTTGGGGCAAGATAAGGTCTGGCATCCTGTAATGGGTCCCAGAATGGTGGGGAAGCAAAATATTCATCTTCAACTTTTTTTCCCACTGTAGAAACCATAGGTCCTGGGGAATCCTCTTTGTGTGGTGCTGTGCCAAAGTGAGGGAGGGGTGACACCACTAAAGTGAAACCATTCTTCTATTTTTTTCTGAGACAAAGTTTCACTCTTGTTGTCCAGGCTGGAATGCAATGGTGCAATCTCGGCTCACCGCAACCTCTGCCTTCTGGGTTCAAGCGGTTCTCCTGCCTCAGCCTCCCGAGTAGCTGGGATTACAGGCACCTGCCATCACACCCAGCTAATTTTGTATTTTTAGTAGAGACGGGGTTTCTCCATGTTGGCCAGGCTGGTCTCAAACTCCCGACCTCAGGTGATCTGCCCGCCTCAGCCTCCCAGTGTTGAGATTACAGGTGTGAGCCACCATGCCCAGCTGAAACCATTCTTTTTAACCTTCAGATTTTTTTCAGTTCTGCAATCCAAGGGGCACCTCAAACTTACTCCTTTTCTCTGGGATATTTACAAAGATATGTCTGTCTATGGATAGTTGCTACTTGATTTCTGTGAGGGAGATTAGAGCCAGAGAATTTCTTTTTTTTTTTTTTTTTTGAGACGGAGTCTCGCTCTGTCGCCCAGGCGGGACTGCGGACTGCAGTGGCGCAATCTCGGCTCACTGCAAGCTCCGCTTCCCGGGTTCACGCCATTCTCCTGCCTCAGCCTCCCGAGTAGCTGGGACTACAGGCGCCCGCCACCGCGCCCGGCTAATTTTTTTTGTATTTTTAGTAGAGACGGGGTTTCACCTTGTTAGCCAGGATGGTCTCGATCTCCTGACCTCATGATCCACCCGCCTCGGCCTCCCAAAGTGCTGGGATTACAGGCGTGAGCCACCGCGCCCGGCCCAGAGAATTTCTATTCTGTCATCTTGCTGACATCACTCCAGGAGAAAATTACCAATACATACAACAAATTGGATGAATCTCCAGGGAATAATGCTGAGTAAGAAAAGCTGTACTCAAAGATCACATACCATATGATTCCATTTATAGTACATTCTTTAAATGACACAATTGTAGAAATGAAGATTAGTGGTCACTAGGGATCAGGTGCTGCGGGACAGATAGAGGTGAGTGTGGCTATGAAAGGGCTATATGAGGGATCCTTGTGGTGATGGAACCGATCTGTAACTTGGCTAGCAATATCAGGATCCTACTTTTGTTTTTGCAAACTGCTACCATGGTGGGAAATTGTTTATGGCGGGAGAGCTAATCACATCCCAATTCATTTTGGTATTGGATCTTTGAGTTTTCCATTTGCTTGTTGCTAATATATAACCATATAATTGTTTTTTATAACAAACTTTGGATCCTGTAATATTATGAAACTATCTTACTAGTTCTAGAACTTTCTTGTAGATTCTTTAGAATTTCTGGTTATACTGTCAGTCTCTCCATCATTGCCTTTCACCTCAAATAAGGGCCTGATTGATGTCATTTGTATTTCTCAGAACAGGTTCTTTTCAGGGGTAGACCAGAACAGTGAGACATCCACTCCTGAAAGACTTTCTCTTGAAAGATAACTAGAATACTTAGCCCATCCTCCCTCCCCCTTGTTTGTCTAAATTCTACATAGATAGGAACCTTGTGATAGGTTTTCCTCCTCATGTCTGTTGAAGTTTCACCAACTGGAAATTACTTATGTGCCATCCTTACCTGGCATGGAATATTTATAAATGAGTGTCTCTTTCTACAAGAAAAATTTTACATATACCTTTAGGAGTGCATGGCAAGTCCCTTCCCTCAAATACAATTTCTAGATATTGGCATTTTCAAATGCAGACTTTCTTGATGTCCTCTATAGTGAAGAACTGCATAACCAAAATTATACTAGGCTAACATTAACAATCTTACACATATCTGATTGTTATGTAGTATAATCAGGAGCACATAACTTCAAAAGAGATGTACATGCAATTCGTTCTGTTATGCTAATCATTCATTTCTCAATTTAAAAACTTTTATATGCCATAGTGAAAATGTCCATCATTTACGTATTGACTTCTCTATTATCTTTGATAAAGAATGAAATACATTAGGAACATGACTTCACTTGTAAAATTTTATCAACAAAGATGTAGTCCCCAAAATCATCAAATCCATTGGTTGTTGCACTATCTATTAAGGCTTGAACTGACCCTGAAGGCTTTTCTGTGTTCAGACCATTCTTATGATTTCATTAGTGTATGAATTCTCTGATGTACAGTGAGTTGGGACTTCTGGATGAAGGCCTTCCCACATACAGTACATCGATCAGGTTTCTCTCCAGTATGAATTATCTGATGTACAACAAGGTCTGACTTCTGAGAAAAGGCCTTTCCACATTCAGCACATATGTAAGGTTTCTCTCCTGTATGAATTCACCAATGCCCTGGGAGGTGAGACTTCTGAGAGAAGGCTTTCCCACATTCAGAACATACATAAGGTTGTTCTCCCGTGTGAATTCTCTGATGTCCAATGAGATGTGACTGCTGACAGAAGGATTTTCCACATTTGGTACATTTATAGGGTTTCTCTCCAGTGTGGGTTCTCTGATGTATGATGAGTTGTGACTTGCGAGAGAATGTTTTCCCACATTCTGTACATTCATACGGTTTCTCCCCAGTATGAATTATCTGATGTATAATGAGTTCTGACTTCCTGCTGAAGGCTTCCTCACATTGAGCACATTTGTAGGGTTTCTCACCAGTGTGAACTCTTTAATGTATAAAACAGAATGCTTTCCCACATTCAGTACACTTACATGGCTTCTCTCCAGTATGAGCTCTGTGATGTATAATCAGCTGTGACTCTGGGAAAAGGCTTTCCCACACTCTACATTCATAGGGCTTTTCCCCAGTATGTATTCTCTGATGTATAATGAGGGGTGATTTCTGGGAGAAGGCTTTCTCACATTCACTACATTCATATGGTTTTTCCCCAGTGTGAACTCTCTGATGTATAATGAGGGATGATTTCTGAGAAAAGCCTTTTCCACATTCAGAACAATCATAAGGTTTCTCCCCAGTATGAGTTCTCTGATGTGCAATAAGGTGTGACTTCTCACTGAAGGCTTTTCCACATGCACCACAATCATAAGGTTTCTCTCCAGTATGAATTCTTTGATGTATAATAATCTGTGACTTCTTGAGAAAGGATTTTCCACATTCAACACATACATAGGTCTTCTCCCCAGTTTCAACATTCACATAATGAATAAGAGATTGTTTATTGCTAAGAATCTTTCCACAATGAGTAGCTTCACAGTGTATCATTCCACTATGATTTTTTTCATGCTTAGAATAGCAAGAACTGTAGCTAGGTGTTTTCCCACATCTAAAATTCTCATCAATGTTTTTTCTTGCAAAATTCCTATTATAACTCACTAGGTTAATATTTGGTTTCAAGGTCTTTTCAAATGAATCACACTTACACAGTCTTTGTTTTGAAGTATCTAGGTCTGTGCAGTCATGAAATATTTTTCCAAATATATTATATGGATGACCTGACTCTTCAGATATTCTTTTGTTGTTGATGACTACAACTTGCCTGACAAATTTGTCTCAGTTTTCCTGATCTCTCTCCAGCTGGTCATCACCTTGCCAGACTTTTAAAATGGAGTACAATGAATGACCCCTTGTAATACTTTCCAGTGTCTCCTTATGGAAGAAAACATCTCTAAATATATCCAGTTGAGGGGTGTCAAGTCTACTCTCTCTGTCTGAAAAAAAATAAAATAAAACAGATATAATAAAGATTTAGTCCTCTACTCAGAAAACAAATATAATATGAAATAAAATGATTTTTAAAACACCAAATCAGAGCAATGAGAAATTAGAAAGACAGGCCACAAATTGTAAAATGTTTATTAATCAAAAACTGTTATTTCATTGGGTAAGAAAGTAAAGTTATGGCATTCTTTCCTAGGTTTTCTGCAACTATCACCCGCAGTTCATGTGGCATTAAAAACAGAGGTGAGAAACCCAGTTTGACACTATAGTAGAGTGGCTAAATATTTAACAAGGAGAAACTGGAAGCAACAGAGTCATTAAAAAACTGAAATAATAGGCTGGACACATGACCTGAAATTCCAGCATGTTGGGAGGTAGAGGCAGGAGGATCATTTGAGCTACAAGTTTGGGACCAGCCTGGGCAACATAGTGAGACCTGTCTCTTTGTAAACAAAAAAACAAACAAACAAAAAACAAATCTGAAATAACAAACTCTTCATATATCCCCACCAGGTTGCTAAAACGTTTCTGCAAGAAGACCCTAGAGAGTCAAGCAATGATTGAAAATCTAGAAAGACTTGCAAACTTGCTATACCTTTGAATCCATGCCTAAATTGTTCTAATCCACGCACAATTTAGGTGTCAATGTGTGGAAGCTTTACTGGCTTTTGATGTCTAATATAACCTCTGTCCAAATCACTAGTTCATCTCTATTTTATGCAGGGGCAGGGGAGTCCACTGGGGGCCAGGATTTTAAAAATAAAATAAATATATAAAAAAATAAGCAGAGAACCCGGGAGGCGGAGCTTGCAGTGAGTCGAGATCCCGCCACTGCACTCCAGCCTGGGCGACAGAGCGAGACTCCGTCTCAAAAAAAAAAAAAAAAAAAAAAAATAAGCAGAGACATCAGCAATAGCACACCATCGGGAAAAGAGATGTCATAGTTTGATTCTGAATAAATTATCTGTAAAATAAAACCTCCACTGTCAGAAGAACAAGAAGAGTCCAGAATACTACAACAAATTATCTCCAATGTACAGTTTTCAACCTAAAGTTACTAGACATGTAAAGAAGCAGAAAACTGTAACCCATACTCAGGAAGAAAATCAATAGAAATGCTCCAAGTGGGCACAGATGTTCGATTTAGCAAAGACTTAAAAGAAGCTACTGTAAATATATTAAAATAACTAAAGAAAACCATACTAAAGGATTAGTAAAGACCTAGATACTTTCAAAGAAGAAAAAAGTATATAACAATAAAGAGTGGTAGTAAACAAAATTTTAAGAGCAATGGAACTGGTCTATATTATGATTGTGATGGTAGCTAAATGAATCTATGCCATTGTCACAATGTAAAGAAAGAGTACACTTCATTTTATGTAAACTTAAAAATAAATTTAAAGAGAAAAGAACCAAATGGAAATTCTAAGGTTAAAATGAAAATTCCACCAGATGAGCTCCTTGGTAGATTTGAAAAAGTAGATGAGAAAATCAGAATCAGTAAACTTGAAGACCACTAGAAATTATCCAATCCAAAGGGCAAAATGAAAAAAAAAATTTAAGAAAATTAAGCATAACATCAGAGTTCTGGGAAACAATATTAAGCATTTCAGCACATGTGTAGGAAAGAGGTGGAAAACATATTTGAAAAAATGTCTGAGATATTACCAAATTGGCTAGAAAACAGTAACTTACAGATCCAAGAAACTGAATAAACCACAGGTAGGATACCTAGACGCATAACAATTAAGCTACTGAAAAATAAAGACAAAGAAAATCTTGAAAGCAGCAAGAGGAAAATAACACCTCATACATAGGAGAATAATAGAATTGTCAGTTGACTTTTCTTTTTTTTGTTTTTTTTTTTTTTTTGAGATGGAGTCTTGCTGTGTTGCCCAGGCTAGAATGCAGTGGCATGATCTTGCCTCACTGGAACCTGCGCCTCCTGGTTTCAAGTGATTCTCCTGCCTCAGCCTCTTGAGTAGCTGGGATTACACATGCCTGCCACTGCGCCTGGCTAATGTTTGTATTTTCAGTAGAGATGGGGTTTCACCATCTTGGCCAGGCTGGTCTCGAACTCCTGACCTTGTGATCCACCCGCCTTGGCCTCCCAAAGTGCTGGGATTAAAGGCATGAGCCACCATGCCTGGCCTCAGTTGATTTTTCAAGAACAAAAAATGGAGGCCAGAAAACACTGGAATAACATATTAAAAGTGTCGAAGGAAAACAACTTGTCAACCAAGAATACTATATTCAATGAAAATCTCCCTTAAAAATGATGGCAAAATGAAGGCATTTCAGATAAACAAAAATATGTTGCCAGGAGAACAGATCTACCATCTAGCTGAATATCAATGGCATCTCAAATACACAGGATTTTACATTTTTTAAAATATGCAGGTGCTACAGTTTGAATGCCCCTCACAGTTCATGTGTTGGAAACTTAATTCCCAATGCAACAGTGTTGAGAGTTGGGACCTTCAAGAGGTGATTATGTCATGAGAGCTCTGCCCTCATGAATGCTTTAATGTTGTCACAGGAGTGGGTTAGTTTTCGTGAGAGGCGGTTCATGATAACAGTATGAGTTCAGCTCCCTTCCTTTTACTCTGATACGTTCTGTTGCTATTCTGCCTTCTGCCATGCAGCATGAAGGCTCTCACCCAGATGTCAGAGCCATGCTTCTGGAATTCCCAGGCTCCAGAATCATGAGCCAAATACATTTCTGTTCATTGTAAATTTCCCAGTCTGTTATAACAGCAGAAAATGGACTAACACAGTAGGTAAATTGAATGTAAACACTTTTTTCTCTTTTCTTCTAATTTTGTTAAAAGACTTTCAAAAGCAAATATAACACTGTATTGTTGAATTTATGACAAATATATGTGACCACAAAGGACAAAGGAGTACAGGAGGGTCGAGAGGGGTAGGGAATGGAGCTATGCTAGTGCAAAATTTCTATATTTTTTCCAAGAAAAAAAAAGCAACATTAACTTGAAGTAGGTTGTAAGAGGCCAAATATCATATTGTAATCCCTAGAAAAACATTCTCCTCACACACAAAAAACAAAAGACATTTCCAGATAAACACAGAACTACAGCTAAAAATTTAACAGAGGAATTAATATACTAAAAAGTATTTCTTTCAAAGAAAACAATAAAAGAAAAAGAGGCCAAAAATCAAATTAAACCAGTAGTAAAATGGAAAGGACAAATCAAATCAATAATGAAATTAACTGGGAATGCAATAATACTCCAATCAAAAGACAGAAATTGTAAACTGGATAAAACAGTAAGAACCAACTATATGTTGTCTAAAAGACATTCACTTTAAAAGCTTGAAAATGCTCATGCCTGTAATCCCAGCACTTTGGGAGGCCGAGGCGGGTGGATCATGAGGTCAGGAGATCGAGACCATCCTGGCTAACAAGGTGAAACCCCGTCTCTACTAAAAATACAAAAAATTAGCCGGGCGCGGTGGCGGGCGCCTGTAGTCCCAGCTACTCGGGAGGCTGAGGCAGGAGAATGGCGTGAACCCGGGAAGCGGAGCTTGCAGTGAGCCGAGATTGTGCCACTGCAGTCCGCAGTCCAGCCTGGGCGACAGAGCGAGACTCCGTCTCAAAAAAAAAAAAAAAAAAGCTTGAAAATGAAAGGATAGGAAAAGTTACCACACAAATTGTGTTTTAGAGTTGGAGTAGCTGTGTTAGTATCACAAAATATACACTTTAAGACAACAAATATTATTAGAATGAAAGGTACATTTCAAATGATGCTGCCAAAGGATTACTACAGCAAAAAGATGTAACAATGATAAATGTATATCACCTACAGAAAGAGCCCCACAATACATAAAACTAAAACTGAGAAAAATAAAAGAAAAAATGAGACAAATTAACAATTACAGCTAGTGATTTTAATACTCCTCTTAACAATTATTTATTTTAAAAATAGACAAAACACCAATAAGTATCAACCAATCTGATCTAATCAACATCTATAAACACCCATCTAATAACAAAATACACTTTCACTTCAAGGACACATGGATATTCATCAGAATAGACTGTATTCTTGACCTGAAAACACATTGCAATGATTTTATAAGAATGGAAATCATTCAGAGTATATTAACCAACCATAATGGAATTAATTAGAAATAAATAATAAAAAGACATCTCAGAAGTCCCCCCAAATATTAGAAAATTAAACACACTTATAAAATAACCTATGTGTCAATGAGAAAGTCAAAAGAGGAATTAGAAAGTAACTTGAATTTAATTAATATGAGAACACAAAATGTCAAAATTTGTGAGATAAAACTAAAGCAGTGCTTAGAGAAAAAAATATATAGATACAGGTAGTCCTTACTTTGCAGAATTCTGACATGCAGGAATTTCAATTACCACAGGTTAGCTAAATAATGCCAGTCTGCCAGCAACACAGTTCAAACTTCAATATAGTATCTGTGAATAATGGCATGGAGTACAAACTATACTGCTAGCTCTTCAGTCTACAAATCATTATGTATGTAACAGATATACATCATGATCAGTGACCAGTCATTTCACTTATTTCAAAGTCTGTCAATGATTATTAGTTGCACATCTGTCATCCAGTATGCTCACAGAGAGCAAAGTGTGTAGTTTATGTTCCTTGCTTGTCTCCCAGTGATAAGCCCACATGAAATTTTATAAAAACTGATAATTAGAAGAGTGAATTGGACAACAAAGATAAAAATTCAGAAAGGAAACAACATTAACAATATTGTTTTTGAGTAGAAGATGGCTGACTGGAAATGTCGACACTGCTGCCATTCAAGAGACTTTAGATACAAAGTAGAGGAATTGAGTAAAAGCAAACTTATTAACTTACTATAAATATAAAAACTGGTTGTGATGACAAGGACAAAGGTAGTGCAAAGAAAGTAATGTCATAAAAAAAAATCTTCACATAAACTCCTGGACATATTTCACAATATTGTAAGCACAAAGGATAAAATGTTGGAATGGATCCAAACTTAGAAAGGATTATGACAATTCACCTAGGTATAGAAAACATGCTCATTCCATATCATAAGTTATACAAGAAGATGGCAAACACTGTTAAAACTACTCTTCACAAGTTTTTTGGGGAAAAAAAAACACATTCAAAATGCTGCCAATGTTTTAAATTTCAGGGTAATAAATAAATATTAGTTTTACTGTGTTTTCATTTCCTATATATTTATAACAAACAGTAAAACAGCTTTTAAAGTTTTGGAAAAAATTCTTAATGGTCACAAAACCATTGTAATTTTTCCCACTGATTATGAAGATTACTTTGCAAAGTTTCAGCTTCAATAGTCATTTTTATGGTTCCCCATTACCACACAAAACGAGGACTACCTCTATTTAAATGCTTATATTAGCCAACAAAAAGGTTTCAAATCATTGATTAAGCTTTGAACTTAAAAAGCTAGGGGAAAAAAAAGAGCAAATTAAACCCAAAGTAAGTAGAAAGGAAAAAACATCAAGGTCAGAATGGAAATCAATGAAATAAAAAACAGACAAATAGATAAAAATTAGTGAAATCAAAACCTAATTATTTTTAAAAATTAATGAAATTGATATATTTTAGCTACTGGTGAAGAAAAAGAGAGAAGACATAAAGTAGCAATATCAGGGATTAAAGACATATAAAGATGCTACAAACATAAATGACCAATAAAAGAATATTATGAAAAAGTTTATGTCAATGACTTTGACAATTTAGATGAAATTTTAAAATTCCTTGAAAGACACAAATTACCAAAGCTGACTCAAGAACAAGTAGATAATCTGAATAGATTTATATCAAGGAAAGAAACTTAGCAAATAAAAATCTTCCCACGAACAAAAGTCCAGACTTAGACTAGTAAACTCTATCACTGTAATAAGGCATACCATGAGTATAACAGCTTTTCTGGGTTCTATGAGTCCTCCTAGCAAATCATCAAACCAATGGTGGTCTTGCAGACCCCCTACATAACTAGCAAAGAAATCCAGCAACATATAAAAATAATTATACACCATGACCAAGTGAGATTTGTCTAGGAATATAAAGTTAGTTTACTATCCCCCAATTGATTACAAATCAATAAAACACTATATAAATAGAGCATCTTAATAAAAGCAGAAAATGCATTTGTCAAAATCCAACACATTTTCATGATAAAAGCACTCAACAAACTAGGAGTAGAAGAAAACTTCCTCAAACTGATAAAGGGCATCTAGGAAGAACCTACAGCTAGTATCATACTTAACGATGAAACACTAGTTGTCTCCCCATATGATTAAGAACAAGGCAAGCATGTCCATTTTCACTATTCTATTTAACATTGTACTGGAGGTTCTAACCAAGAAAAAAAATTAAAAAGCATCCAATATGGACAGAAATATTTAAAACTGTCTTTATCTGTAGATGACAAAATCTTTATCCAGAAAATCCTAAGGAATCAACTAAGAAACAATTAGAACTAATAAGTGAGTTTAGTAAGGGTCAAGATACCAGACCAATATACAAAAATCAACTGTATTTCCATATTCTTGCCATGAGCAATCTGAAAATGAAATTAAGGAAACAATTCCATTTACAATAACATCAAATAGAATAACACAACTTATACTCTGAAAACTATAAAACATTATTGGAGGAACTAAAGTTCTAAATAAATGGCAAAACATCTTGCATTCATGGGTCAAAAGACTTAATATTAAGATGGTAAAACTCCTCAAACAGATCCGTAAGTGCAATGCAATCCCTATGAGAACCCAAAGGAGTTTATTTGTAGAACTGATACACTGATTCTAAAATTCATATGGAATTGCAAGGAGCCCTAGTCAAAATAATCTTGAAAAAGAACACAGTTGGAGAAATGACACTTCTCAGTTTGAAAACTTACTATGAACACAATAATCAAGAGAGTATGGTACTGGCATAAGGATAGATAAACAGATGAATAGAATATTATTAGGAATCCAAAAATAAAACCTTAAATTTATGGTCAATTGACTTTTGACAAGGGTACCAAGACTCCTAAATGGGAAAGGAATAGTCTTCAATAAATGGTGCTGAAGTAACTGGATAGCTTCATGCAAAATAAGGAAGTTGGAACTTTACACCATATGCAAAAATTAAAATGGATCAAAGACTAAATGTAAGAGCTGAAATTATAAAACTCTTAGGAAAAAAAACCCACAGGGGTAAATCTTCATGACCTTGGATTTGGAAATGGATTCTTAGATTTGACACCAAAAGCATGAACAACAAAAGAAAAGAACAGTCTTCAATCAGTGGTGCTGAAATAACTGGATAGCTACATGCAAAAAAAGGAAGTTGGAACTTTATATGCAAAAAATAACTCAAAATGGACTCTACACTAATGGGTGTGAAGTGCCATCTCATTGTTGTCTGGATTTGCAGTTCTCTGATGATGAGCATCTTTTCATGTGCTTATTAGTCATTTGTACACCTTTGGAGAAATGTCTATTCAGATCCTTTACTCATTTTTGAATTGGATTCTTTGCCTTTTATTATTGAGTAATGGAAGTTCATTATATTCTTTTAGGTTGGTGCAAAAGTAATTGTGGTTTTTGCAATAGGTATAAGTCCCTTATCAGATGTGTGATTTGCAAATAGTTTCTCCCATTCTGTGGCTTGTCTTTTCACTTTCTTAATAATGTCCTTTGAAGCACAAGAGTTTATAATTTTGATGAAGTCCAGTTTTTAAATTTTTTCTTTTGTTGTTCATGCTTTTGGTGTCAAATCCAGGAATCCATTTCCAAATCCAAGGTCATGAAGATTTACCCCTGTAGGTTTTTTTTTTTTCCTAAGAGCTTTATAACTTTAGC
Source organism: Homo sapiens (assembly GCF_000001405.40). Lineage (NCBI taxonomy): Eukaryota > Metazoa > Chordata > Mammalia > Primates > Hominidae > Homo > Homo sapiens. The sequence continues at coordinate 150,940,169 of NC_000005.10, forward strand.
TCTTACATTTAGTCTTTGATCCATTTTAAGTTAATTTTTACCTATGGTGTAAGTTCCAACTAACTTCTTTTGCATGTAGCTATCCAGTTATTTCAGCACCATTTATTGAAGACTATTCTTTTCTTTTGTTGCTCATACTTTTGGTGTGAAAATCAGAGAGATAGCGATAAGATCGCACTTCACACCCATTACTGTAGTTAGAATCAAAAATGGGCAAAGGATCTGAATAGACATTTCTCCAAAGAAGGTATACAAATGACTAATAAGCACATGAAAAAATGCTCATCATCAGAGGACTGCAAATCAAGACAACAATGAGACAGCACTTCACACCCATTACTGTAGTTAGAGTCCAAAAGGAGAAACTGGTAACCTCAGACCCTGCTGGAGGAAAATATAAAATAGAGCAGCCACTTTTTGGAAAACATCTGGCAATTCCTCAAATGGTTAACTACAAAATTACTGTATAACTTAGGAATTCCACTCCTAGGTACATACCAAAGAAAAAATAAAACATATGTCCACATCAAAACTTGTAGTTAGTTGACCGTTTACAGCAGCATCATTCATAACAGCTAAATGCTGGAAATAACCCAAATGTCCATCAACTGATGAATGGATACACAAAATGTCATATATCCATACAATGAGATATTATTCAGCCAAAAAAAGGAATGAAGTACTGATACTTGTGGATGAACTTTGCAAATATCATGTTTAGAAAAGGAACCCAGTCAAAAAAGACCACATATTATATGGCTCATTTTATATAAAATGTCCAGAATAGGCAAATCTATTGAAACAGAGAGATTAGTGGTTGCTTGAGGCTATGGAGAAATTGAATAGAGGGGTGATAGCTAAAGGGTACAGGGTTTCTTTTTGAGGTGATGAAAGTGTCCTAAAATTGACTATGGTGATGGTTGCACATATCTATGAATATACTAAAAATCACTCAGTTGTTTACTTTTAATGGGTGAATTGTATGTCATGTGAGTTATGCCTCGGCTGTATATAACAACAAAAAATGTCAGGGTAATATAGCTGGAATCTCTGTCTCTTCCAAATCTGATGTTGAAATCTGATCATCAATATTAGAGGTGGGACTTAGTGGGAGGTATTTGGGTCATTTGGGGATCCCTCATGAAGGGCCTAATGCTGTCCTTGCAGTAATGAGTTCTTGCTTTATTAATTCCCTTAAGAACTGATTGTTAACAAGAGCCTGGGACCTCCCTCACTAGCCCCTCAACCCACCATATAATGCCTGCTCCCCTTCACCTTCTGCCATGAGTGGAAGTTTTGTATGGCTTGTGGAACCATGAGACAAATAAACCTCTTTTTTTTATACATTCCCCAGCCTCAGGCACTCCTTTATAGCAATACAAATGGCTTAAGATAGTATGGCTAATAAAACATTAACTATGTGTATCATCCATACTGTGTATCCAAGCTTATATTCCACTACCCCCTAATAAATATCTCTGACTGAAGTCAAGTAAGCCTAGCGAATTTCCATCAGAAAAGTTATGTTAATTCCTAACTAAAGATTTATAGAAGTCCTTCTTCCTACAGGCTCTTGCCCTCCTTCTGCCTAAGCCACACTGAGGATATGATTCAGAGCAGCTGCTACATGCTCTGAAAAATACCTTCTTAAATTTTGCCACATCTCTTCAAACTATAATTTTCACAAACTCCTAAAACATAACTATATTTGACATGTAATTTTATGCAGCCATGAATCATGATGACTTACCTTTTCTTGTACAACCTATGTCCCTGAAAGGCATTTGTTTCTATTGCCTTTGAATTTCTTTTAGGAAGACACTAAAGTTATGATTGTTGAGTGAACAAAAAATAAATACCTCTTTTTGTACATGGCTCACTATTAATGAGTTAGTTGTTGAATGCCTACTACATGCTCTCCACAGGAGCAAGAAGAAATAGGAGATGGCAATCTGGGTGGAGATCTAAGCCTCAGCCATAAGCCAGTTAAAAATAAAATAAAGCAACTGAGCATTTATTTTTCTTGTCTCCCATCTGCCACATTTTCACCTGGATAGATCCAATTTGGTATGTGTCTCTTTATGATCCATGGCTCTTCTCCTTGTTCCAACTTGGAGATGACATCTGGTTTGGAAACTGGATATCCTATTATAGAGAAATCATAAAGGAATTGGGTTGACTACACTGTAGAAAGAAGAGAAAGTGCAGTTGCAGGAGCCCACAATAAGCTGTCCAAGTGACCCTCTGCAAAGTAAAGAACTTTCACTAGAGAAAGGAAAAAGCACAAAGTCATTATAGGTCAGGAACCCACCTAACCCAATCAGATAAGGGAGAGGCACTGGATTGGACAACTCTGAGTTATTCAGGGGAGCCATCCTTACCCATTGAGACCAGGTGGCTATAGATCTCCAGCATCACATCCCTGTACAGGGTCCTCTGAGCATAGTCCAGTTGCTGCCACTCCTCCTGGGTGAAATCCACAGCCACATCCTCAAATGACACTGGACCCTATAACAGTACATTCTTGCTCAATCAGAAGCGATCATTCTCATTATTTCCACTATAGTTTGCAAAACCATGTGCCTAATTCTATATCATGCCTTCTGAGAAAAATTATGTAAAATTTTGTCTTTAGCAAAAAACAGTCAGACACATCAGGAGAATAGAAAAGCAAGAAGAAACCTAATCACAAATGGGAATTTAATAAATAATAAAGGAAGCATTTCTAATAAGTAAGTTATTCAACAAATGGTATTGGGAAAACTAGATAGCTATCAGAAAAAGTTGAGAATTTTCATTTTTAAAACAATAGAATCAGTAATTTCCACTGCACACCCAGCACAAATTATTAATATGGATATCCCAAGAGGAAGGAAGAAGTGAAAGGCCATTTCATTTTTAAATTTTTTACCTTTATTATATTGTTTTAAATGTTTACACCAATTATACATAACTTGAGCCAGGAAAAAAATAGTAAAATGACTTTATACATTTAAGAGCAGAGAAAGAAATGACTTTAAGTTGGGGAACTTAAATAAGGGTTCCCCACAACTTTAAGGGAACAGCCCCACAAACCCTGAAACTATAGCAAAAGCTATGGAGAATCTGAGACTTCTGCACTCGAAGCCTTTGCCAGTGAATCATAACTAAATCTAAAATAAATATATTAAGACACAACTACAAAAACATCTATTGATACATTTATATAGGAGTTTAGGTAAGGATAGCACCTATAGGAGGACTCCCAAAAAATAAATTTATTTTACTCCTAAAGGCAGGAAATATTTTCTTCTCATTGAAAATTCAGCTAATTTCCCTTTGTGGAGAATGAAAATCTTGTTTATCATGTCCTCTATCTTTCCACTGGGACTGCTATAAAGATCAGACACATTTATACCTTATATACTTTGGTAAAATACAGTGATATGAACATACTATATATATATATGTGTGTATATATATATATATAATTTGTACTCTAATAGTGGTTTTATAAGGTTTAAACCACATAATTGGCATATTACGTAGAAGCTGTTTCCAAATCTTTATCATTTGTTCTCTCTACATCTTCTTAATCCTAATTTTTAGCTTTCTGTATTTTTCCATTTGATTGCATGGTAACCAAGTACAAAATAAGCAGCTCACCTGAGACCTGATCATTTTCTGCTTCCCTTCCGATAGGGCAGAGGTCTGAGGAATCAGGTCTGGAAGAAAGAATGGAGTTTTTATGGGCCAGAACTAACATTCACCAGTCTCTAAACAACCACCACCAGAAGTCAGGTAGCTGATAGGCCATCCTGTGGGAGAAGGTCGTGATGGGAGAAGGTCGTTTGACCCTTATAGCAAACACCATGTGAAGGAGGTATCCACCTTTAGTCCTTTTGTGACTATGATATGATCATACAGAACTAGGTGTATAATTTGATCACATAGGGCAAGGTGTATTTTTAATTAGATAAATGCAGATATGTTTCCTGTGGATTTACAAACACCTAATTGTTCCCCTTTGAACCAGCAATTCTATTTGAATTTCTATTTGTAGAACTATCTTAAGACAATAATCATGGATATCATGGAGAAATATATATTTAACTGCAGATGTTCCCTGGAGACAAGAATGGGAGTGACCAAGAGGAAAATTAAGGAGTGTATTCCCTTATTTCCTAAACCAAAGCAGCCTACAAAATTCTAAGAGCTCTGTTATGGACTGAATGTTTGTCCCTCCAAAATTCAAATGTTGCAATTCTAATGTGATTGTATTGGGAAGTGGGGTCTTTGGGAGGTAATTAGGTCATGAAATGAGAGCCCTAATAAATGGGATTAATGCCCTTACAACAGGAAATATCAGAGAGATGATTTGTCTCTTGGCCTTGTGAGGATACAATGAGAAGTTTACAAAACAGGAAGAGTGCTATCAGCAAACACTAGACCTGCTGGCACCTTGATCTTGAACTTCTCTGCCTCCAGAAATGTGAGAAATAAATGTTTGCTGTTTAAGGTCCTCCATCTGTGGCATTCTGTTACAGCAGCCCAAACTGAGTAAGACAAGCTCTTTTATATTTTACTCCAAACCAGCAAATTCTCTTGATAAATCAATATTTGTGGATTAAAATTGCTGATTTTAAGATTTCTTTGGTTTAAATTTTTATTGCTGATTTTAAGATTTCTTTGGTTTAAATTTTTATTGCTGATTTTCAACAAGGCAGTTGCCTGTATAAAAAATTACTGACAGGTTGGAACAATAAACGGGAATATACTACATTGCAGGAAAGTACTTAGCTGGTAAACTCTTTTCAGTCTGGGATAGATCATGCAGACAGAGCTGAACTCATTCAGAGCAACGGGGGAATATCATGATAGAGAGATTGTTTCATTTGTGCCATCCCAGGGTTTGTCAAAATAAATCAGGAAGGAAACAATCAAATAGTCATGTTAATGTCTGAACACCCAGCCCTCCATAGAGTAAATAGCAGATGTCCAATAAATATTTGTTAAATAGAACATAAACTATTTCAGTAAACTTACGAATAAGCAAGACTGAAACTACACCTTTCATAATAAGAAAGAGAATATGCCTTAGAATGCTCTGATATCTAAGAACCTGTCTGGCACTCACAACTCTCTTACTTAATATAAACAATTACACGAACATAAACATCACATAAGGCCGCTATGTGACCAGGATAGATCAAGACAAAAACAAGATTACTCTGACATCATGTAATGACGAAACACCAATATTGTTCAATCCACAAAATACCAATCATCCCTCTCTCCCCTCCCGTCTGCTACTTCTTTAGCTATTACTTTTACTTATTAGCTTCAGTCTAGTCTTTCCTCCTTCTAAATAAAATTTATTGAAATTCCCAGATTTTTTAAAAAATAAAAGTCACTGAATTACTCTGTTTCCTAATAGCATTCAATCCAGAGTAAGACCCACTTCCTTAACCACTCCCTAAAATCACCTAACACAAAGCCAAATCCTGCAAATACTTTCTAACACATTCTTACTGATGATACATACCCCAACAGTTCCCTGTGGTGACAGGGCTGAACTGATTCATCCTAACTCAGCTTCCTAACTTATTCAACCACAGGGTATTCCTGGTTTATTTGGGCTAGAAAGAATTGACAATAATGATCCCATTCCTTTAATATTTGTTTTGATATTTATTTGAAGGATGTTTTCTTCTGTGAAGGCACGAGTTATGGAGGGGACAAGTGGTTTGAGAAAACTTCTGAAGGTTTTCAACTTGAGAGTAGTCTGTGACCTGCAGAGATTGCAAAGTGAGGCCTGTTCTAATAAGTTGGAACTAACTTTAACAGCCCTTGGTCCTTAAAATCACTGAATCGCCAGGTCCAGAAATCACAAACCCCACAGAACACATCCATCCCCACCACCATCATAGCACCAGTCATACAGGTCCATAAGTCACTGGCCACACGTACACCCCATCACTTGGCGCAGACACTCCATCCCTGACCCACAGATCACACAGGCCTCCCTGCTAATGACCCCCACATGTTCCCAACACTCATCACTAACCATCACTGAACTCATAGACCTCGTCACTGAACCCCAAGGAACCCTGCCCCAATACCAATCCCAGACTCAACCCATAAACCCCCCTGCTGACCCCTAGCTTGATTATCAGGTCCCAAAAATCCTATCACCGCTTAATGGGAACCGCTGTCACATCCATATTGGCGAACTCTCCCGCTTCGTGTTCGCGAGCCAGGTAACGGGCTCCCGAGGCTGCGCTGTTCCGTATGGGGCGATTTTGCCCATTCTTCATCTTCAGCGGCTTTGTTCAGGAGGCAACATGACTGCTCCCAGACGCTGTTTCCGCACGGGGCCGCCATTTTGAGATCCCAGGCGTCTCAGTACAAGCGGAGGACTCGCCAGGCGCTGAGCCGGAATGTGGACTGTACCACAGTGACTGCGAAGGGAGGGGAAGACGACGGCAAGGAGGCCTACTACACGAGCAGTAAGGTCCACACTTTTGCAGACAGATTTCACAGGATTGGAGAAGAAGTTGGAGTGCTACTGTCCTCCATTTAAGGATGCTTATGTTGAAAGGCGAAGAATTTAGAATGGTACAATATTTTCGTTGGCGATTCCAATTAAACGTGTTTGTAAATGGTACGTTCTTCTCCGGGGCGTTTCCTCTGTGGGAGACTGGGGCCACCATGGTGGGAACGGTCACTTCGGGAGGGGATAACAGTAATACTGAACTTTTATTAAGAGTAATGATAAGAAACACTCCGAGGGAGATATTACAATACTGCGCGGTAATAAGTTGCAGGGGCAAACTTTAAAAAAAGGAGGAAAATTGAGACAGGGAAGAGGAGATGGACGTACAAAATAAAGGAGAAAGTGCGGAAATGAGAAAGACTAAGGGACAAAAAGACGCAAGACCTAAGAACAGAGAATGGGAAACTAAGGGACCAAGAGTGAGAGACTGGGGACAGAGGCAAGGGGACGACGAAGGAGAGGGGAGAAAGAGGGAAGTGGGGAGCCTGGGAAAAGGAGGACGCTGATGGAATGTAGAGGGAGACTGCGTAAGGTGACCAACGGTCCCTCTTTGCCTGAAACTATTATAGGATTAGCAGCAAAAGTCCGCTGTGTCCCGGGAAGTCCCTCCCTGAGGCTTCAGAAGTCCCAGTTTCCCTGGATGAGTGGGAAAAATTTGACGAAAGATACAAAACCCACTAGGTGGCCCAAAAAGTAGGGTTGAAAGGGATGGTTATTATTGTCAAGTCAATATGGCATAGATTCTGTGCCTTTTCCTAGGCGCTATTGCTATTTTACCCCCATCCCTGAGGTTGGCGACCATAATTTGCAATTTACAATAATGGATTACCCATTGTTGGGTCACTTTGGAATGTTGGGATTTAAGTGTATGACTTAAGTGCATTGCCATCATAAGCATTCAGGAGTGTTTAAGTTGGATTAACTATGCTGCTTTCTACCAATTATTGTGCTAGTTTAATTTTTAACATTGTAAATATTATGACAATGTTTTCTAAGAGTTCAGACAATAAAAATAAGTATGATTATAGTACCAACACCAGCATGATCCAGACATCCAGGAAAAGACATTTTAATGACGGCTATAAACATACATACAACTGATTAGGGAGGTAAATAATTAAAACAGCATACTACACAGTATGCAAAAAAGAATTTAGGATTGGGCATAATAGAGAAGGGGATGTGAAAGCACTTACGGAGACTGAATTGTACAAGTGCAGGATGAGACAAACAAGTACTTCCAGTAAACAAAACATTTTTCCTTTCCCTTACAGTATATAGCAAATCCAGCTTTCAGCAGTATATCAAGTTTTCTTATAGTGTCTTTGGCTTTGGTAACAGAGTAATGCTATACCTCATAGAATGAGTTAGGAAGTGTTTCCTCCTCTTAAACTTTTTGGAAAAGTTTGAGAAGGCTTGGTGTTCTTTAAATGTTTGGCAGAATTCACCAATGAAGTGTGGTTTGTAGCACCACAAAGCAATCGCAATAGTAACATCAAAGATCACTGATCACAGATTATCATAACAGATACAATAATAATAAAAAAGTGTACAATATTGTGAGAATTACCAAAACATGGCACAGAGACTTAAGTGAGCACATGCTATTGGAAAAATGGTGCCAATAAACTTCAATGCAGGGTTGCCTCAGGCCTTCAATTTGCAAAAATTGCAACCTCTGCCAAGCAAAATAAAGTGAGGCACAGTAAAAGGAGTTATGCCTGTATTTCATCGCTTCAAAAGAGGCAAAAAAGGAAGAATAAAAAATAAATGTTGGAACAAACAAAAAAATGGCAAGATTATGGTTCAATGCAACTATATTAGTGTCTACATTATATGTAAAGTGATTAAAATCCTATTAAGACAAAGATTGTCATACTTGATGATTAATACAAAATCTATATCATTTTTTATGAGACACACTTTAAATGAAAGTGTGTCAGTTAGCTACCGTGTCAAGAAAACTCAGTGACCTAAAATAGAATGCTTGTGATCATCATCATCATCATCATCATTTATGTGGCTATGGGTTGGCTATGAGTCAGCTGACTTCAGCTGACTCATGTCAGCAGGTTGGTTGACAGCTCCACTCAAGTCTGGCCTTGATGGAGAAGGTTAGCAGGGCCAGCTATAGGATGTGTCGCTCATTCTCCACATGGAACCAGTGGGCTAGTGTGAACATATTTTCATGGTGATGCTAAAAATACAAAAATATAAGCACACAAATCTTATGGCGGCTTAGTCTCTGAAATTTGCAACACTTCTACTTCAGTCCCTTGGACAATGTAAGTAAAAAGGCTGATCCCAGAGTCAGAGTTGAAGGGTACTGCAGTTACATGGTAAAAGAACTGAAGCAGAAAATGTATAAAATAAGCCTATTACATCTTACAGGAGAAAGCAAAAACTATAAAAACCTATTAAGATTCTTCAAAAGCCAATCTGAAAAGGCTATCACTGACCAAAGATGAGACCACTTAAGCATCAAAATTAGTAACTGAATAGATTGAAGCTCACTGAATATTTAAATACATGAATTTATAAATTCACCAGAAAAAGAATTAGTTAGCATTGGAAGACCCTAGGAAACCTATTCTTTATGCTAAAAACCGTTGTGTTTTGTTTTTTTTTTTTAAGAAAAGAAGGATTTCCTTGCCTTTTCTATTTTAATGATACCTTGGAAAACTAAAGAGTAGATAAGGAGAAACACCTCTTTATAGGAAGGGTGAATGATTAAATTAGAATGCCATTATTTTTAGCTGGCTAGCCATATATAGAAGAATAAAACTGGACCCCAACCGTTCATGACAAAAAATTCACTCAAGGTGAACTAAAGATTTAAAGATAACACCTCAAACTGTAAGAATCTTAGAAGAAAACCTAGGAAACACCATTCTGGACATTAGCCTTGGGAAAGATAAAATAGCGTGGTTAGGTGTAAAATTTCTTGGTAAGTATTATTCTATATTCTGTTTCTATATACATTGATGTTACACTCGTATAGACCACCCCAGCCATGTAGTTCCCTCATATAGTGCACTCAGAAATGAAATCCTTATATAAGTTTGGGACCGTCTTTATATTTGATTTGTAATTCTGGAATCTCACCTACTTAAATTATTGTCATTTAAAAATATGTATGAATTCTAATTTATAATTTTCTGAAGTATTTTTAATGAAATGTTTTATATAGGGTCTGGAAAATGACTTCCCTTGTGACACTATATCTTGGCAACATAATTTTCCAAATTCATTAAATTAGCCTGATTTATCCTCAGTACAAATCATATGGTTAATAAGCCTGGAGATCATGTTGAAGGTTTCTCACATTCAGAACTTTTATAGATTTTCTTCAGTATGAAATTTCTGATGTAGAGAGAATTGCAAATTGTAGATCAAGTCAGTCATAAGTCATTTTGCCTGTGTGTGTTTTCTTATTTCTAATAAGGGCTGAAGTATAGCCGAAAGTTTTTGCACATTTATTCAATGCAAAGGGCTTCTCAACAGTATAAATTATCTAATGTACAATGAGATATGACTTCTTGGTAAAAGATTTGCCACATTTAGTACATTTATAGGGCTTATGCCCAGTATGAAACCTCTGATAAACCGTAAGTTACGATTTCCAGATACAGGTTTTCCCACATTCAGTAAGGCTTCTCTCCTGTACAAGTCCTCTCATTTCTTTTTATTTCTTTCATTTTTTTCTGAAACAATGTCTCACTCTGTTGCCCAGGCTGGAGTGCTGTTGTGTGATCTCAGCTCACTGCAACCTCTGCCTCCCAGGTTCAAGCGACTCTCCTGCCTCAGCCTCCTGAGTAGCTGGGACTACAGGCATGCACCACCACGCCTGGCTAATTTTTGTATTTTAGTAGAGATTGGTTTTCACCATGTTGCTCAGGCTGGTCTCAAATGTCTGGCCTCAAGCAATCCACCCGCCTCAGCCTCCTAAAGTGTTGGGATTACAGGTGTGAACCCCATGTCCAGCCATCCTCACGTTTCTAAAGTTCTGAGTTGTGCCTGAAAATTTTCCCACATTCCATGCATTCAAATGTCTCTTTCCAGTATGAATTCTCATATGTACAATGAGTGCTGACATCTGGGTTCAAACTTTTCTACATTCATTACATTCATAGAGTATTTTGCCTGTGTGAATTTCTTTTGTCATGTTAAGATGTAACTATGCCTGAAAACTTTTTACATAGGTTACAATTATAGGGGTTTTTCCTAGTATGAATTCTCTAATATATAATGAGGCAGATCTTCTTCCTGAACGTTTTCCTGCAATGAGAACATTCATAGGAATTTTCTCCTGTATGAGTTTTTTGGTGCATAATGAGGTATGAGTTCCTACTAAATGCCTGGACACGCATAGTACATATGTATGCTTTCTCTCCTATATGAGGTCTCTGATGTACAATAAAAAGTGACTTTTAGACAAAGACTTTTCCACACTCATTGCATTCATAGGGCATCTTGTCTTCATGATTAATCACATATTTATAAATGGATGATCCATGAGTCAGCATTTGGTCACATTTATTATAGTCAATGAGACTCCAAGTATTCTCATTCTTGGTATGGAATAAACTATAGCTAAATAATTTTTTTCTTTTTTTCTTCACAAGAGTATGGATGTCACTAAATAATTTATGATATTCATTATGCTGTTCATGTTTCTTTTAAACTCCTGTTATGACTAAGTAAACCTAAATTATGTATCCAATTATTCCCCCAATACTCCATATTTGTGAGGTCTTTGTCTTTTCAGAAGAAGGCTCGTACTCAGAGGGAAAAATTTTCCAAATGCATTTTATGCAAAACCTCCCTTTTCCAACACTGTTGTATTTTTGGTGAATGCAAACTGCCTTATCAGCCTGCCTCGGTTTTCCTGGAACCCATCTATTTGATCATCAGCTTGACAAACTTCTTCATTAAAGGAGTATAATGAGCCACTTATTTTCATTATCTCATTATTTTAATTATTTTATTATCTCACTATTTTCATTATCTCAATTTTTTCATTATCTCATTAGACAATGAAACATCTTCAGCTATGATAGCTTCTGGTTCTTCTGGCATATTATTTCAATCTGAAAAAAAGAGATGATGAAAAAGACTAAAAATAAGGAAAAAGTGAGACTGAGGTAGAAGAGGTAAAGTAAGTATGGCTAAAACAGGTATGAATGGGACAGGTTTATTTTTGCCATCATCTCTCAAATGCCTTATTCTAACTTACTCATTAATAGTCCAAACCTTGAGGTTCTCCCCCCAGTGTCCATGGTTCTTCTCCATGCTTCAGTATGACAGTCGTGTTTGCTTTGGTAGATACTGTTTGTACAAAATAACACAAAACTTGGGTATCAGTACTAGAATAGAAGAATTATCCCAGAACTCGGCCTCAGTACCTTGGCTTGAGACTCCAGAATAATGGGGAAAATTAAGCTACCCATTTTTACCTTGACAAAGTCAATATCATTTATAGGTAAATGAGTCAATTATGCTATTATTTAGGCAAGAGAGATGCACAATCCTTCAAGGGCAAAAGCAATAAATATTTCTGAGGCCACAAAACCAAAGTGAAAGTGCTCAGTATTGGAAACATTCTAATTCAGGGACTCTATCCTCATGCACTAAAATTAGGGTAATGACTATAATTCTCTAACATCACATCATATATAGGACTCTCTGAGCAAGGTCCAGTTGCTGCCACTCCTCCTGTTTGAAGTCCACAGCCACATCCTCAAATGACAATAAATGCTATACATAGGTAAATCCCACTTCATCTGAAATAATCAGAATTGTTTGATGTGGACAAGATGGGAAAATATTCTGTTTAATTTCATGGGTGAATTTTATCAAATTGCCAAGCAATAGATAATTGCAAAGCTGCTTTAAGTTTTCTAGATCACACAGAGAAAAGCTCCCAAGTTTGTTTTTTTTTCCATTCAGCCAGTATGATTTTGTTACAAAAACCACATATAACACCTACATGAACAATATAAATCAGAGGTAAGTCATTAATATTCTACAAAAATTCCTATGTAAAATATTCGTAAGAAGAACCTGCTATACATAAAGTAAGAATCTACTAGTCCAAAGTAAACTGAGATGTTCTTTTCAGGAACAGCATGATAACTCAGATTTAGGAAATCTACTGGTATAATTTATCAAATATGTGATGAATCAAAACTGTAGTTATGGTTTGTGGAACAGGAGAGTCAGCTGGTCAGTGTCTGGCCATTGTTGAGCTGCAACTGTTTTGCTTATCTTGATGCCAGTGTTTGTTTAGCTGCTAGAGAAAAAGAAAAAAACCTTGTGGCAGTTAGAACATAGTTTATTCTTTAACTATAGGGGTACATGATTTAACCCTCATCTGGCATGGCCTTAGGTCTTTTTTATAATTTAGTATCTTATTGACACAAAGAGTCTATCCTATTAGTCTCATGATCTCTATTTTAACATCTTGATTCATTGCAGTGTGTAGGGTGGCCATGTGCCTTAAAGATGGCCACCCCATGGTGCCTGGCTGGAGGCCAGTGTGCACTGGAATATGCCAATGCTGTGCAGTAGGGCAACAGTCCCCCAGTTGACCTGAAGGGCCAAACTATCTGGTCAGAAGTAGGGAGGGCAATGAAAGCTAACTCCTGGAAAGCTTCCTGGGGGAGAAGGTAGGGTCCCTGGAGCCAAACTATCTGGTCAGAAGTAGGGAGGGCAATGAAAGCTAATTCCTGGAAAGCTTCCTGGGGGAGAAGGTAGGGTCCCTGGAAAATGTTTCCAGGTTCTAGAAGCCTAACTGGTGCAGAGTGGGTGACATGTAGTGGGGAGGGAGCATAGGTGGGGGAAGAGGGGTGTATCAATGAGTAAATAAAAGCAAGGTGAATTTTAATACTCTGAATCTGGTGGTTGGGCTGCAGGAGCTCAGGGAACTGAAAGGCCATTGGGAGGGGCAAGTCTAAAAAAAAAAACAGGAAAAAACTGACATTTCTATGCAGGTAGCATCACTCTCCCTCACCTCAAACCAACAAACCTATCTCCTTCCCCCAGACTAACTCTCCTGTGCACTACAAGATGAAGCTCAGAGCTTGGGACATTTGCTGGAGATTTTCTTTCAGCTGTAGAAAAAAAAAACACCCTCTATCAATTTATTCCTGAATCTATAGCCCAGAAACTTTCCTTCCAGTAATATGAAGTATCTTTCTTTTTATTCACGTCTTATTTTATGTCCTTTGGTAGAATTTTGACCTTTTCTCTATCCCAGTTTTGGACATTTCTGGTAAGGTTTATTCCTACGTCTTTTGTGGTTTATGTTAACTGCTGTGAAATACGTAATTTTAATTATTAATATTTTCTAATAAGTTACTGGTGGCATGAAGCAAAGGTATTGATTTTTAAATATGTTTTAAAACTTCTGACCTGTACAAAAAGGTATGCAATCAGAAATAAAAATAGTCCAGGCATGGTGGCTTATGCCTATAATCCCAGTGCCTTGGGAGGCTGAGGCTAGAGGATTGCTTGAGCCCAGGAGTTTGAGACCAGCCTGGGCAGCATTAAAAGGTCCCATCTCTAAAAAATTTTTTAAAAATTAGCCAGGCATGTTGGCACATGCCTGTAGTCCAAGATACTCGGGAGACTGAGGCAGGAGAGTCACTTGGGCCTAGGAATTTGAGGTCACAGTGAGCCTTGATGGCACCACTGCAATCCAGCCTGGGTGACAGAGTGAGATCCTGTTTCAAAAAATTAAGTAAATAAAAATAAACACCTTCTGATCAGTGGTGAAATTTTTTTAAGAAGTAAAAATTAAAAAGCATTTCTCTATCTTCACCCTCAATCCCAAGATTCTCCTCAAATTAACATTGTTTCCACATTTTTCTATATAATTTTCCAGAAAACATATCCCTTATAGAATGGACCATTCTATAATTCTGTTCTGTAGCTTACTATTTCATGTATCTCAAAGAGCATTGCATGGCACCATTTATGGATTCACGTCATTTTTAATGCCTCATAGCATCCTATTATATACATGTATCTAACAAGTCTCCTAACAATTAATTTTGAGATTTTTTTCTTTTTTTAAATAAACTGCTGTGAAAAAAACATATTATTTTGGGGTATTTTAGAAAGTATATTCATAGAAAAAATTTCTAACAGTGAAATTATTTGATCAAAGAGTTTCTACTTTTCACTGTAACAGGAAAAAAATGAAAATAATTTCCCTACTACTGTACTAAAACTACTAAACTCCCACTGTACTAAAACCTGTATTAAGTTTTGGTCCTTTCTACTTAAATGAATTTTTCTCACATTTTTGGCGTAAATGTGAGAATGAACAAATGGCTTTCTTTCTCATTCTTTCCAATAATTTTACCTATTATTTCATTTTCTGTTTTTTTTTTTCCCTTTGGTTATAATTTCAGCACATGCTGAATTGTAGCAGTGACAATGACAATATTTGTCTTGTTCATGGCTTTAAAGGACCAATGAACATGGTTCTAATAATTCTTCGTTTAGTCTAACATTTACTGTAGATTTCTGGCCAACC